>NC_000005.10:84352231-84655261 GCF_000001405.40 Homo sapiens | reverse complement strand
CAATAATAATACACTATCACCTAAATTAGGAAGTTATGCACCAACAAATGAAAACATATCTCCCAAAATGGGCTTCATGAAGTCCCAACAATCATTTACTTCTCATTTCTGTGTGATGTTTATCTCTCTTCTGTTCAGGCACAATAATGCCATTATATTCTATTACTTAAAGAATAAGTTATTTTTAAGTACTATAAAGACATAGTATATAAAGCCATGGGGGGTGGGGGAATTGTTAAACTTACATGATTAGAATAAAGCAAAGATGGAAGAAGACCATTTTTAAAAATGGGCTTGAGGTCACAGCCTAGAGTTGGCCTTCGTAACTTTCTTCATCTTATACCCCTTTGTTGTTCCCTTAGCCTGTATCCAGCACCTCAACTGATCACATTTCTTTACATGATAGGTGAATTACTTCTTCATTCTTAAAAGGTATAAACACTTGGGTGTCCCACCAGCACCACATTTCAATAGTCTTCCATTATATGTTGCACTGTTATGGGCAAGTGAAAGGTTCCCCAGAGAAGCACTTGGGAAAATGAATGACCCTCTCTTTCCGAGTTGAGTAGCAGTAATTCTATTTTTCTTTGATAATTAGAACCATTGCCCCAGTCTAAATTTACTCTCTTTTTCTTTTTATTTCTTTTGTCTACAGTTTCAGAAACATGAGAAGTTTCAAATGTCTGATAAAATAATTGTTGATTTCCCCTTGCAATCACTGTGACTTTGAGGGTTTTGGATCTTAGTAAGACCCTAAAGTAAGACCCTTAGTAAGCCCCAGAAAATGTTTAAATCACGGAAAGAGAGGACAAAAATTTTGTTAATTGTTCCTTAGCTATAACAATACGAGAGGATACAGCCACATTTACCTAGAAACTGCAAGATCACTCATCTACAACAGTTATTTTTATTGATTTAACCATTCTGATTTTGCTTCTTGTTAACTTACCTATAGCAGAAATCACATGCAAATTGCTCCTGGTGGTTAAGCAGCCGAGTGCCTTCTAACACTCTAGAATCTATCATGCTCACTGAAATAAAAGTACTTATTTCAGTGGTACCATTGTTTGTCTTCACCTTTCACCTATAGAGGACAGATATTAGGATGATATTGGAGGATGGTGATTGTTTCCTCATCGCGTATTTTTCAATGTACTGGCTAAATAAGTGTTTTTTCTACCTTCCCAATATTTAGGAGCTATGAGGAGAGTTCCATTTTTATGTTCCTCAAATTTTAGACTCCTTCACCACCACCCCAATTCTAGGAACTTTTAGGATCTTAAATTAGTTTATTACAGGCCATAGTTAGGTCCAAATGTCAGCTAATATGCCAAGCAAAGTCACAACTACTTCAAGATGCCCTAGCCAAGTCCTTGAATTCAGATTTTCTGGGTGCTGATTATACTGTATCTAAATGGGTGAGATTTTCTGGTAATCTTACCTATATAGACAGAGTAGATTAAATTAAAATATTATGTTCCTTTTCCCCCAGTGAATCACTCCTAGAATCTGTCCCCACACATGTTCTCTAGCATTCTGCCAATATATTATAGTCTACCAGTTCTTAAGCCTTTGCTTCTTTTAGCATGCTAGGATCTTATTTTAGTTAAAAATTGGAAGAAATGAGAAATAGAAGGGAAAGGACATAAAGGGAAATGGAATTTGCTTACAAGAAAGTTATGTCAGGTATAATCATCATAAGCAAGGAAGTCCCAGCCTCAAAAGATGAAGTCCTGAGTGATGCGGAGTAAGAAGTTGCTTCTTTTAGGCTAGGCGTGGTGGCTCATGCCTGTAATCCCAGCACTTTGGGAGGCCGAGGCAGACGAATCACCTGAGGTTGGGAGTTCGAGACCAGCCTGACCAACATGGGGACACCCCGTCTCTACTAAAAACACAAAATTAGCTGGGTGTGGTGGTGCATGCCTGTAATCCCAGCTACTTGGCTTGGGAGGCTGAGGCAGGAGAATCACTTGAACCTGGAAGACGGAGGTTGCAGTGAGCCGAGATCATGCCATTGCACTCCAGCCTGGGCAACAAGAGCGAAATTCCACCAAAAAACAAACAAAAAAAAAAAAAAAAGAAGAAGGAGAAGTTGCTTCTGCTGTCAAGAGAATCAGTAGGTCTGGAATTATTGGACTATAATAAATATCCATCTGAATTTACCCAAGGTTTCCATACATTTTATTTCTTAGGGCTTTAGGCATTCCTTGACAATGCATTGTTTCAAATAAGAAGGCTTAAAGGACTATGGATGAAAGTTAAATTGTGTCTGATTTCTAGCTACATCAGCTTTTGTGACTAAAGAGATAACAGATTATATTAGTATAGTACTGTAGCTCCCTGGCCTTCTGTATATTTCTTGAGTCAAGAATTTAAAACCTGATCAAGACATATTATCTTTCTTTCACCTCTCCAATTCAGCCAAAAGTTGCTGGCTCATCCCACAGTAATTGTATTCGCTGTTCCTATGCTAATGATCTACAGCAACAGCCACTTGGTCCATCAATGCTTCATCTTTCATAGACACTCATTCCAGGTGACCACTAACACAATTTAAAAAACTCATTAGCCACCTCATTCCATGGACTTTCAGTATACTATTTTCCCACGAGAAGCAACTTAATACTGCTGCTAGTAAACATGCCCAGTACCAAGCACTAAATCAGTCAGGTTTTGGTAAAGAATGTAGAAACCACCTTAAATACCTTTTTTAAGCGTAATTGCCGCTAACCTACCCAGCCAATTAAAAGGCTTAATTTTCTGGCTACTTTTACATGTCTTCTTCCTGATACTTCCATGTTGTAAGTTGCCCCACTACTAATTATAGCCACTATTCTTCATGTTGTGGACCACTGAATGGGACAACACCCCTTCTTCCATTGAGCCCTGAAGGAAATTGGATGAAGCAGAACCAAACCATTGTATCATATCAGGTTTCAGAGGACAGATGCATTGGACTGGAATTCAAATATAAAATGTATTGCTAAAAGGTAAAGTGAATTATAGAAGAAAACTATAATACAGGAAGGATTAGGTGGAAATTCTAGCTGACTTAAACTTTTCCTAGTACCAAACAAGAGTGGAAGATTTAAGATAAAGGCCTTCACAAAAGGAATAGATCTTGTGAATTCTCTCGTAGGTCTGCATGTCTCTACCAATGCAAAATGTTGCATATTTTAACATTTCCAAATTGTGATACATCACTTTCTGAAAGGTTGTTATTAAATTGATAATGTCTTAGAGTTATGGAAATGTAGTATTTATCATCTAGTCATCACTTAATTTTCATTCTGTTCTCAGCAAGGCTGTCTTGAGCAGCATTCACCTTAATTTCTCTAATAACCACTTCAGTTAACTTCTTCATCCTATCCACTGCCCTAATGCCCTTAGTCTTTAAATGATCTCTTTTCTTGGCCTGTGTCCTTTTAGCCTTTTGTCATAGTATTTTCCATATTTATATGAATGTACAAATGGATTATTCTTTAAAAATTCATCAAATACAAGGAGAATTTCATTTTTGGATGAAGTCATAATGTTAAATTTTAATCTTTTAATATCAGGTGACCTTTGTTTACCTCTAAAATCACATGTTATGAAAGGTTTGTGTCTCTAGATACATGCAAAGAAGCCATGTAAAACTCGTTATATTAGGCTTTAGGATTGTCAATTGTATTATGAATTTTTGATGTAGATGTTGCTGCTATTATTTTCAATGCCTGTTTCAAAGTAATAAAAGGCAAAGACAATATGGAATAAAGAGCTAAAACCTTATTTATTAAAAGGATTAACTAGGTACGGGATATGAATGGGGAAAATGCAGGTAGAGAGGAAGGGCTATTAAGAAATATGACTTTGATCATCATGTTCCTTATTTGGAAACCTTCAATGGATGCCATTATTTTTGGTGTTTTGGAAGGAACATGAATTTGTAGACAGAAAAGCCATGCTTAAATTCTAAAAGTGACTGCAGGTGGGCCATCAAGTTCCTCAAATCTTCAACCTGGTCTTCAGTAAAAATGGTAACAGAAATATCCAATTCTGAAAGTTGTTATGAAGAGGAAAGGTGATTATGCAATTATATTGCTTGACAGTATGGCATCTAGTAAGCTCCAGAATGCAGGAGGCCTGTGTTCTTCTAGCCAGTTTATATTTCTAATAAACACAACAATAAGTAGAGAAGAGGACGAATAACTATTTCCTGCTGCTATGAGCAAGTTACTTAATACTGGTTGAATTCTAAAAACAATGTGTATATTTCTCTGAAAAGCCTAACTTCTCTCTGATGTACTTTTTGTTTGTGCTTGCCCAGCATAAATTAAAATTCTACAAACAATAAAAAGAGATCAAAAAACACAGAGACAATATTGCCTTGAAATTTGCATCTTTACATTGTTTGTCATTAACAAACAGGGTGAAGCCCACATCCTTCAAAATCAGATACAGGGACATCTCCTTTCTTTGCAAATTTATATCATGAAAGAATGATTGGTATAGCTTCCCTACTGTGCAACAAATTTGTTAAGTGGAACAGATTGAAAATATTATGGCATTTCCCACAGACAGGGAGCATGTAAATCAGCTTGCAAATTGAATGGAATCACAAAGAGTCATTTGAAAACGACTCTGAGACTGAGGGTTAGAGGACAGAATGTTAAGTGATGGGTAGGAAGTAAATGCCAGCTATGACTCAAGTAAATGATACATAAACTGTGACAAAGGATCTGTGCCAACAGGTCAGATATATTTAGTATGCAGTGTCTGTGGTCCCTGCAAATTGAGTCTATAGGAAAGGATAACACACTAAATTATTTGATGTCAATATTGTTGGATTGGGGATTTGCATTAAAACATATTTGTAAAGTATATTAAACCAACCAACCAAACCAAAATTCTGAACTAACTAATCTTTTTCAGGAAATTTAGTTTGAGGATGGAGTAAGATGGGAATTAATGCTAATTTTATCACCAAGTAAAAGAACTGCCCAGCCACTAGGTTTATCATTCTACTAAAACCAGATGCATAATGCATCAGAGTCAGAGTTGTCCCTATAGCAAAGGGACCATGATACTTAATTCTACCTCGCAAGAGCTGAGGGTATACATCCTGCCTTGACTCAGGAAAAAAAAAAAAAAGTGAATGAGAGTCTGCCTCTAGGAAGGCTGTACCTTTGATATAATGAGTGATAAAAAAGAGATGAGCCAGAGGGACTACTTTTATTCTAGGACAGTTGATTACTGTGTGGATTTAAATTCACAGAATCTTAATTTGAATGGATAGTAGAGGTCACTGAGTCAAACTTTCTTAAGTGCATGGCTTTGTTCAACAAAATCACCAATACATGGTAATTGGATTCTGCTTGGCTAACTATGGGAAGAGAAACTCACTAATTTGTGAGGAAGCCTGTTAAATAATTACAGCTTTGTAGTTACTCAATCTCTTCTTTATAGATGACAATTCTACTTCAGTATAACTTTTATTCAGTTTTCACATACACAGATGTGAACAAACTCACTTACACAAACACACACTTTTGCCTTTTGTCTACAGAACTTCAAATATCTATAGTTCTATGTTCTCATTCTATTTTAACCAGGCGAACACTCTCTCAGAATTAGTGAAATTACTGCCTTTTGTTTCCAAGCAATGGCAACATAAAATATGCCCAGCAATCAGTGCTGTGTTGGGTTTGCTACATATAATTCCTACAACTTGATTTTACCAAATAATGAAACTGAAGCACAGAGAGGTCAGCAACCCACCCAAGATCACACAACTGAATATTGGTGGCAGGATTTAATTCCAGACTTCTGTCTACAAGGCCAGTGCTCTTAACTGCTTTATTTGGGTGATAAAATAAGGAAAAAAAAAAATTTTCATCAGTTTAACACTTTGCACTTTCCAAGAAACAAACTCAAAATTTAAAAAAAGAAAGAAAATGTGAGTGACAAGTAAGAGTCCAT
Source organism: Homo sapiens (assembly GCF_000001405.40). NCBI lineage: Eukaryota > Metazoa > Chordata > Mammalia > Primates > Hominidae > Homo > Homo sapiens. The sequence continues at coordinate 84,649,300 of NC_000005.10, read as the reverse complement.
AATAAGGAAATGATTAGGGAACTATAACTAGTATATGTAAAAATCAATAGACATTAATGTTATTCATCAATGGGTCAGTATTATGTTAATGGAATCTGAAAAATTTAGTCATACTCAGAAAGTACAGAATAAAATTTGGAGAAATATCAATCTAGGCAAAGAGCTAAAAAGTTATTAATTTTTCACTTTTTATATAATTTATAAATTTAGTAGCTTTGGAATCAGGTTACCTTCAAGAAACAGGACAAATGAGCATTAAAATATTCAGCATATGTAGAAACCTACCAAAACCGAAGTAAAAATAACATAGATCTTACAAGTGTGATTAGCTTAATTAGCTTTTGACTTTATCTTTCTGTAGCTTTCTCAAGAGGTTCATCATCTGAATTACAGAACACACAAAAAAAATTCAGTTCTGCCAATGATAGCATCAAGTCATTATATACTATGTGATGAGTCCAGGGTCTTCTGAAACTGCTACTGTTGAGAATTAGGATACCATGAATACATGTTCTGTTAGATATCTTTACCATGTGCAGATACTTTAGAATTCACAATTAAGGTTTAATAATGGAATAAAACCTAGACGTTAATCTAACAGCAATTTTATACGCCAAGAAAAAATGATACTTTTGCTTTTTAATGTGCGTTCACATTTCTGAAAATCTTGTAAATAACTTTCTGACTTTCTGTGTAATTATCCTTCTATAAAATGAATGATCTTTGGTTTCACAAAATATATGTAAAACAGTTGTTATCACAAATCATAAATCCATGTTGTAGCCTAAAAATCAGTTTTTTGTTTTTGCTTTTTTTTGTTTGTTTTTTTTGAGACGGAGTCTCGCTCTGTCGCCCAGGCGCAATCTCGGCTCACTGCAAGCTCCGCCTCCCGGGTTCACGCCATTCTCCTGCCTCAGCCGCCTGAGTAGCTGGGGCTACGGGTGCCCGCCACCACACCCGGCTATTTTTTTTGTATTTTTAGTAGAGACGAGGTTTCACCATGTTAGCGAGGATGGTCTCGATCTCCTGATCTTGTGATCCGCCAGCCTCTTCCTCCCAAAGTGCTGGGATTACAGGCGTGAGCCACCGTGCCCGGCTCAGTTTTTAAAATGGCAAAAAATAGTATATGCTATATTGTTCCCTTGTGAATTATGTTATTCATCATCTCTTTCTTTTGACAGTTAATCACTAATTATTTTCCGTAAACACTTCTGGTGACTAAATTTTTCTCAAATTATAAAATAAATGTCTTTGGAAACTACATTAATATTTTCAAGTAGTCATATCACTATTGATTAACAAAACATTATCAACTTACTACAAGACACTCCCATCTGGTGATTACAATCCACAAATAGTGCATTCCTAAAAATTCCATTAGAAACATCAGCATTCTAAAGCGTCATTCACAGGTTCCAAATACCTGAGATTTGTTTTTTCTCTTTTGCTTGTTATTCTCCACCAAAATATTTCAGTCCATATGTGCTTACTAAGCCTTTTCAATTATGCTTTCATTCTAGCTCTCACAAACGTCCTTTATTCTCTATTCCCAACCCACTCTGATTTATTTCCATACTATTCTAATGCTTGTCATGTTTTTCTTACCCAACTATCCAACAACCCTTCCCAAAACTTCTAAGAAAAAGTTCCCTCTACCCTCAATTATTGGCAGAAATGGTATTGATAGTGAAAACTCTTAACTCTGACAAAAATATTGTTTCCCAATGTACCTACATTTTTCTGAATGCTAATAATTTTGTTGTCTGCTACACTTGTTTGTCATTTCATCTTGTATCTATTCGGTTTGTCATTTAAATACTTCTTAATTCTTTTTCTTATTTTTCCAATTTGTTTATAATTATCAGTGAGTTCCGTTTCTTTTTCACTCCCTAAGTTTGATTTGATGAATATGCAAATGCATAAAATCACCACAAATTTATCTGTGCTTTAGTTTTCTCGTCTTGAAGCGGGCAGCAATACTACATATCTCACTGTGTTATTGTAGATATTGAATGAGTTAATACACCACGTAAACTGTTAAAATAGTGCATGGCACATGATAAAGACTCAGTAAATATCAGCTAGAACTTTTATTTTATTTGCTTTTCCATTAATTTTGTGTGAGCTTGGGGTAGTCAGCTCTCTGGTTTATTCTCTGTGTGCACAACCAATAGCACACATGGATTCATCAGTAAATGTAACAGAATAAAATTACTAGCATTCAGAAAATGTAGATTTATTGGGAAACAGTCTTTTTGTCAAAATGTAGAGTTTGCACTATCAATACTATCCCTGCCATGAGTGGATTATTGGGGCTGGGATGCTTGCCAATAAGAGCTACTGATTCCAATTACCCTGCATACATGTCTAACCCAAAACAAAAATCCGATTAGGGTTTTACTTTGGTCAACCTAATCAAGTGGGGACATAACTTAATCCCAAGGAGTGTCTGGACTAGTTTTTGTGTAGCAGAAAATAACTAAAAGTAATTTTGAAGTTGCCTAATTAGAATAAGTGAAGAACTTTGGGTATGAGTGTGTCCTTTATTTTTTCCTTTTGGCAAAATGTACCAGGTTTGTGTGGAAAGGTGGAAACTAAAGGGATAATTAACATTTCATAAAAATTGTCTACCACTTCCAGATGAGATGGAGCAATAGGCACAAGATTTACTGCCCGAAGTAACTAAAATATGTACAAATTATATAAAACAATAGTTTTTTAAAATACTTGACATCGGGTAATTAAGGATGGTGAGCCCTGAACGACAATAAACAAGCCAGGTGAGTCCTATCGTCCTCCTAGCAATGATATGCCCCGACTGTGAAAAAGTTTCCAGGATATAGCACTGGGAGAAGAAACCTAGGCGGAGCCTCGTAGGCTCCATTGGTTGAGACAGAGCTGAGCATCCAGGGAGTCCAAGCAACAATGAAACATGAAACGGGAAGAGTTTTCCCTTATCACCCATAGCAGGGCATGCTATGGGGGTGTGGCTGGCTTTTTTTGGTGCCCTGTTGCTCAGACTCCTGGAGGGAGCACGCAGATGGGCAGGTCCTGGGACTCCGACCCCACAGTGGCATCTGGGATTGAGTGTTTACAGCTCCTGCAGCCCCAGTGGGAGTGTGTTACAATGTGTTCTTTCAGCTTAGCCGTCTGCAGGTATCTTGTGTCAATCAGCTCAATTAGACCCTCTGCCTTATTGGAAGGACAGAGGGCTTTCTGTATCCCAGGGTTGTTCCCCTAGTGTTCCGGAAAAATCAGATCACATGTGGGCTTAGAGAATGAGTTTTATTGACTGGAGAAGGTTTTATTGAGTGGTGGAAGCAGCTCTCAGCAGATGGATGGGGAGCCAGAAGAGGGATGGAGTGGGAAGGTGGTCTTCCCCTGGAGTCAGGCCGCTTGGCGGCTGGGCTCTCCTCCGACCACCCCTGGCCTAATTCCCCTCGACTTCCACCTCATTCCGCCGTCAACGGCCTGCCGGTGTCTGTCGGTGTGCTCTTCTGCTGGTGTGTTCCTCTCGACTTCCAACCGCTTGTATGTGTGCCTGCTAGGGTCTCGGGATTTTTAGAGGTATGGGATAAAGCACGTGGCAGGCCAGAGTGGTCTTGGAAAATGAAATATTTGGGCACAAAGATAGGAGTGCCTGTCCTCACTTAGGTCTGTGGGCACAGGCCCGAGGGTGGAGCCCTCGCCAGGGATCCCGCCCGTCGCTACCCCTCCCATATCAACAAGAGTTTGCGAGTCAGAGGACAAGAGAAAGAGCTTTACTCTGGAGATCTGCAAAGGGTATCCATCTAGTACAGGTGAGTACTGAGCAGATCATGTATGTCAGAAAATCACCCCAGGCAAGGGATAGACTACCCGAAGGATTATAGGTAACAGTGCCAGACCCTCACACAGACTGGAAAACCTCATGATTCACAGGCATTTGGTGGAATATACAAGAGGTTTGGCCTCTGCAGTGGAGAACAATTAGCTCAGATTAAGCACTGTCCTCGTCCTATCCAACAAATTTTAAAAGCAAAATGTCAAAGGATCAAACTGCCTCTAAGTAACTTAACTGTCCCAAAGCTCCTGAATATTTATATGACTATGAAAATATCAAGGACCCAGCAAGACAAAAATCGTAATATGTCACACCAATCGAGTTACATACATTTTACCATGAAATATTTGCAACTGTTGGAGGATAAAAAACACGCTTGGAGACAAAGGTATGAATATTATTGATAATGGTCTATTATGTATTCCAGTATTATAACACTATAAGAAGGATTGTATCAGATGATTAACCATTTCTCAGGTTTTATTCTTCTGTCTGATATTTTGGAGTCAACAGAGAATATATATAACTTGAATTTCCCTATCTCTTTTCATTATTCTTACATTATAAAATTAGTGAATTTATGTAATCATAATTTATTCTGGGATATCTATTGGCCATTCTTTTTACATAAAATCCTCACATTTTACTTACTCATTTTCTTCCTTCTAATCCTCAGCTCCAATCTTACCAAATAAAGAGAATAAGTTTCTTCTTTTCTATTGTTTTCTAATTATCTTATTTAACTTGAGTTTCAATTTTACTTATATTAATTATGATGAATTTACATTCACAAAAATAATGAAAGCCTTAAATTTTTTCTTATAATTTTCCATAATTAATATATCAATCTGTTTATTCAATTGAACAATTTTACCCTCCAAAAATTTGGAGCTAAGCCCTAATATTGTTCTTTGAAATATTCCTTACAGTCTAATAATTTAGAATGACTTTGTGTATTCTTCATCCCAACTAAAATTAGTCGGCAGTATTATTCCATTCCTTCTTTTTAGAACTAAACTCAACCCTGCTTATTCACCAAACATTTTTCTTTAAAGAAGGAAAAAACATCATCAGAACATGTCTCATTTAAAATCAAACAGAAGAGAGAGCTGATGCCCTAAAATATCCTTCAGCTTAAATAATCTTTTCTTAATGAGATGAAGGAAATAATTGTGTTGTAAATGCCACATGCAATACTATGTTATAAATATGTTATCAATTTCAACACCCTCCAGTTTCTTATTCAGGAGACAAAATGGCATCATCTTTGGCAGTTAAAAAAATCCTCTTAATGCAGAAGTGTAATTTTTCATTGAGTTTGAAATGACTTTTTTGTGCCTCTTTGAGTGTTACCATATTCCTTGGAGTCAAATCAGGCTTTATTCAGGTGTAAGCACAGTGTATTGTTATGAGCATTTTAGTCCATGCTCTGACAGAGGGCAGAAATCCATGGCAGGTGAGGCCATGTCGAGAGGTATAATGGAGAATGTGGAACTTGAACATAGAGAAGGCAGGGAAGGTAACAACTCATACTCCTGGGCTGAGCAGCTCCAAAACAGCATAAAGAAAAGGGGCAACTGAAGAATGAAATGACATGTGACACAGTGCTGGCGTGGGAAATAAGACAAATAGGGAGTGAGGAATAGGGAAAAAACAAACCATGTGAAGGGTGCACTAGTAATTTTGGAAGCAAAATTTCTGTTCTTTTGTTCTGGATCACTCTGACAAAAAGAAGTAATATACATTACACTTTTGGAAATGGCTCCTGTATGTGAGGTACATAAACATTGCAACTGTGCTTATAGAATCTATCTAAAGACAGAGGATACTTTTGAGTGAAAACCTGGAGAAATTTTATTCCCTACATGTCATAGTCTATTTTTATCACCAGACTATTGCCTAGTAGTTAGGTTTATGCTGTTATATCTGTCATAATTCTGTGTAAATGTTTTGAGCTCCAATATGAAAGAGAAGATTCCAATATAATAAAGTTTGAACCTCATATAGTAATAGCCATATTGTTGATTTCCTTCAACTCAGTAATATCAAGTTATTACCTTTAACTAGAATGTACACTTGCCCTTAGTTTATGTTTTAGTAAAATGTGCTATTGGTCATTTCTTAAACTACATCAGATGCCAAGCAGCATGAATGGTGAAAAATCTGGAAATTGATATTCTATTTAAATAGGGAAATAAGGGACAGTGTCAAGCACACATTTACAGTACTCTTGCTATTGTAATATGGCCACAAATGCCCTCTTTGTAGTAAGTGTTTTGATGCAGGCTCTCTTATAAACCACATTTGCAGGTCCATCAGAGTCCTATGGGTTCTGTTCTATGAAATACACTCTTTTACTGACCTCTTTCAACTACATTCACCTCCTGTTCCCAGCAATTCTCCTTTCGCCTCTCACTGTAGAGTTCCCTTACCTAGATAGTTATTCTTTTGAGTTCAGTAATTTTAAGATGACTCAAACCTGGCTTCCTTCCAAGCCATTCAACTTTCCCAGTGGAAAACCATATAGTAGGAATGTAAACTGCTCTCCTTTTGCTGCTTTCTTTCTTTTCCTTGCCATTAAGGACTACTCCAGCAGCCTTAGACTTCCAGAATTTTCCAGACAAAAAGATTTTAGTCTCTATATTCATATACGTTCCCCCAGATTTCAAGCTCTCAAGAATTCTTCCACCGTGCTTCAGTCCTATAGAGTCCAGGAAAGAGCCTGTGTGTCACCACTGCAGAAAGCACAAAACACCTAGCCGATCTCTTCTGGCTGGCGCTGGCAGTCCCACTCATTGGTTTATTTGGAGCCTTCTCCTCACGCGCGTTAAGATGGCATTATCAAAAAGACAAGAGACAACAGACATTGGTGACAGTGTGGAGAAAAGGGAACCCTAGTACACTGTTAGTGAGAGCGTTAATTGGTACAACCACTATGAATAACAATATGAAAGTTTCTAAAGAAATTAAAACTAGAACTACCATATGACTCAGCAATTCCTCTTCTGGGTATGTACCCAAAAGAGATGAAATACCCTCTTGTAAAAATATCTGTACTCCCTTGCTCATGGCAGCATTATTCAAAATAGCCAAGGTACAGAAATAAACAGTGTCCATCGATGGACAAATACATAAAGAAAACGTGGTGTATGCATACAGTGGCATATTATTCAGCCTTAAAAAAGGAGATCCTGTCATTTGCCACAACATGAATGAATTTGAAAGACATCATGCTAAGTGAAATAAGCCAGGCACAAAAAGAATATTGCATGATATTACTTATATGTGGAATATTTTAAAAAATAAGTCAAATATATACAGTGAGAGAATTAAACTCTGGTTATCAGGGGTTGGGGAAGAAGTGGGGAGGAAATGGGGAGATGGAGCTCAAAGGATACAAAAAACAGATGTGTAGATGGAACAAGACTAGAAATCTAATATAAGAACGATGGTTAATAAAACTGTATACTGGAGACTTTTGTTAAATAAGTACATTTTAGCTGCTTTTGTCACACAAAAGGTCATTATGTGAGATACTAGATATTTTAACTTGTATAGTAACTATTTTACTCTCTGTAGGTATTCTATAGCATCATGTTGTAAACCTAAAATATACACAACAAAACATACTAAATACAAAGAATTTTAAATAAAAATAAATAAAATAAAAAGTAAAGCACAGGGTGGTTCAGGATGAGCACACTTTGGGTTATTAGGGCATGTATCATAATTTATTGACCCTGTGCTTTAATGAGATCACAGGCCCTTTAACATGAATTTCAGTGCTGAAGGATACACTTCTTTTTTATTTTTTTTGAGACAGAGTCTCGCTCTGTCGCCCAGGCTGGAGTGCAGTGTGGTGCAATCTCGGCTCACTGCAAGCTCCGCCTCCTGGGTTCACGCCATTCTCCTGCCTCAGCCTCCCAAGCAGCTGGGACTACAGGCGCCCGCCACGATGCTCAGCTAATTTTTTGTGTTTTTAGTAGAGACGGGGTTTCACCGTGTTAGCCAGGATGGCCTCGATCTCCTGACCTCATGGTCCACCTGCCTCGGCCTCCCAAAGTGCTGGGATTACAGGTGTGAGCCACTGCGCCCGGCCAGGAGCCACTTCTTAAATGGACAGAATGAGTGGTTCACCTAACATCTGTTCATGACCTATATCATTCATTTATATATTTGCCAAATTGGAGTACCCACCAACTGCAAGATACTCTATCTAAGAAACTAACTCTCTGGTGAAAAGGCAGTTATTGAAATCAAATAAATTACAATATTGCTCAAGTGTTATACTAGAGGTAGACAGAAGGCTATGTCAACTCATAGAAGTCATTAATAAACTCTGGGACGTTAAGGTAAAGTTTGCATAAATTGTGATTTTAAGATTAGTTTTAAAGGATGATTACGACCTTGATAAGAGGAGAAAGTATATACATAGCATCATGCCCATGTTTTTGCAGGAAATTCATCAGGTTAGGTGTATTTGACATGACATAAGGTCAGATGTGTGGATTTTTTTATGGTTTTTACTGTCAAACTAAATATATATTCAAATAGGATAGATTTCTGGCCTTAAACCCTATTAAAATGTCTTGGCCTAAGACTCATAGTAAATCTTGTAGACTTTAGATAACATCAAAAGCTACTATAATTCTAAATCTGAACATTTAATGTAAAATACAGCACTTAGTGTGTTTTTATACATTCCTTTTAAAGAGATCAGATATCTATATACTTGTATCATGAAGGATTGTTCACTGTAGCTAGGCAGGCATCTCTAGCTATAAACTGTAGAAGGAGATTCTTAAGTAACATTTTTTTTATTATACAGATATCAAAGTCAAAATAGCTAAACCAATTTTAATTTTGCTATTTGCCCTAGCATCACATCTTTGTCCAGATATTTTAACTCAGATAGAAGAAAAAAATTATTTTTTTTTTCAGTGCAGCCACCTGGGAAGAAATGTTTTTAAACGATGTAAGTTTCTATCCACAGAAATAGTTTAGTGATGGGTATTCATTCAGTGTTTATATTTTAAAGTACTTTTGGACCTATCATACTGATTTATATTTGGTTGGTGCAAAAATAATTGCAATTTTTGTTATTGCTTTTAATGAAAACACTGCAATTACTTCTGCACCAACCTAATACTTTAAATGTACTCAACATCACTACAAGAGATTTATGTCAGATTTTAATTTAAAAAATATATCAAATATTCTAAAATTTCCTAAACCTTATTTTCTTTACTAGGAATCAGTGAGTTGGAAATTACACAAGCAAGGCTAGTAAATGCATGCCGATTCTCAACCTTGTATTGTCATGCCCCATTAACAACTTCAGAGAAGTCATTGAATTTTTTAAAATTAAGTTTTCAGAACTTTTTTTATACTAGTCAAACTATTCCTCAAGCAGATCATTCAAATTATTCATGCAAGTGAAAAATTGATCTATGTTAGAGATGATAAAAACATAAGAAACTTTTGCCATATTTTAAACTGAAACTATTTTTAAGTTCAAAAAGATTATGTTTCTCTTCTTCCAATTATAGGACTTACATGCTGGATCCTGTCTTTCTTTTCACCCACTCACACTTTTATCCTTTTTCTATATTTCATACTTCTCTCTCTTAATACATAAATTACACACAAATACATAAAATTAGGGTTTGATTTTTAAATTTATTGTAGCCTCATTTTATCATTGACAACATATATATTTTAAATGCATTTATTTGTAAAAAGGTATGTATACTCACAGAACTATGCACTAAGACACAAATTTGACTTGGAGCCCAATATTTCAACTAATTTTCATACTGGAAATGTTCTCTGTTAAATGTCAGCAGCACCAAAACATTTTATATAGAAAGTTTATATTTTATATAAAACTTTAACAGTATTAACATTGAAAATGTTCTGAAGAAAAGAAGCTGAAATAGTCTTTGTATAAGGAATTGAGAATTGGAAGCTATATCAATTCTAAAATATAATGTATATGTGTTTATATACATATAAAACATGTATTATGTATGTGCCTATATATAACTACATGCATGTATACATAGAAATATATGTGTGTGTATATATAGATATATATACACATTATATTTGTTATTTTTTTTACTTACTCTAAACATTTTCCTTATCAAGATTCTAAATCATGATTCACATATTTCTGGGTTATTTTATGCTCCTTAACCAATGACAAAATGGTACACTTCGTAGGAAGAGGAATTTAAAAAGTGAAAATAAGAACTTTTGTTTTTGTTAAGTTAGAAAGCATTTTTTTTTTCAGTGCTTTACTTGAAGTCTCATTAGCCCATTTGTTTTCCAGGTCTTATTTAATTTGCAAATTTATTTGGCATAAAACATGTCATATTCTAGAAATCTAATTTTGTTTTAGCAGTCTAAAAATACTGATATTCAATTTTTTCCAATTCTAAAATCAGTTAACTATGAAGTGGGAGGAAAGAAATGACTTTTATTCCTAAACACATTTTATTTACTCTTTGAAACTGACCATGAGGTTCTTAAATTTCAGATTTTAAAAAGCTGCTCCGTATGTCCCCTGTAGAGAGTTTCCTTTAGAGAGGAAATGCTTTTTGTTTTATGATATAAATATTTACCATTATAATACCATAGGGTGTCTCAAGCATTCTGTTATTTATTTATGGATATGAAAGTAGAAATCTCTGGGTGGAGAAAGGAAAATGAAAGGCTAAAATTTGCTTCTCTCAGCTCTAAATTATAGAAATACACTCACTATGTAAGTAAATATCATATTATTCCTCCAGTGTAAACCCCAAAGATTTTGCAAAGAACACATATAAAAAAGAAAACCAGAGAGCTATACATTAACTACACAGGCTGAAAACCTTAATGTCAAATTTAACCTGGAGAGGAGTAATAAAATTAATGTCACTTGCAAAGTACCTTAATGATCATACCCATTATTATTGTAAACAGCATAAATACAAAATGATCCAGAATCTAAAGTCTTTTAATAATGAAAATTCTACTGTCTCAAACAAAATTGCTCAGTAGAACATCACTGGGTAAACATGCTCTCAGCACAATTCTGTGAAGTATCATGAGTGATTGCATCTGATTTCTATTTATTATGCTTAGAAATGGAGTTCTCACACTGCATTCATCACAGCCATGTACTGTAGCTTAAATAATGCATAAGGAACATAGCAAGGGACTTATTTTCAGAGATCATAACTACACACTTCTTGTTGATACCAGATTCTCTAATCATCAAAATTGCAGATCAATGTCTTCTTTCTGGATTGTTTTGATACCTGTTCTTGGCATGTTCCTGTCAGGAAACCGCCAAACATCAACAAACATCAAAGGAAAGAACTTTTCAGGTGTTGTGATTTGCCATTCAATACTTTACTGAAGCTTCAGGGAAAGGAAATTGTAGTAAAATGTGGCAATACTTTTGAAAATTAAAAGAGAAAGGGAGAAAAGAGGAAATGGAGAGAAAAGGAAGGAGGGAAGGGAGGAAGGGAAAAAGGAAGGGAGGGAGGGAGGGAGGAAGGAAAAGAAGGAAGAAGGAAGGAAAAAAGAAAGGAAGGAAGGAAGAAAAGAAGGAAAAAGAAAGGAAGGAAGGAAAAAAGAAAGGAAGGAAGTAAGAAAAAATAAAGGGAAGAAAGGAAGGAAGGAAGGAAAAGAGGGAGGGAGGGAAGGGAGGAAGGAAGGGAGAAAGGAAAGAAGGAAGGAAGGAGGAAGGAAGGAAGAAAATATTATCACAATACTGTCATAGTGTTACAGTTATTTGGAATATATGCCCTATGCTAATTTTTCTTTTTTTTTTTTTTTAACTTGAGATGGAGCTCTTGTGGCCCTGGCTGAAGTGTAGTGGTGCGATCTCAGTTCACTGCAACATCCACTTACTGGGTTCAAGCGATTCTCCTGCCTTAGCTTCCCAAGCAGCTGGGATTAAAGGCACTCGCCACCACGCCTGGCTAATTTTTGTATTTTTAGTAGAGATGAGTTTCGCCACGTTGGCCAGGCTAGTCTCAAACTCCTGACCTCAGGTGATCTGCCTGCTTCGGCCTCCCAAAGTGCTGGGATTACAGGTGAGAGACACCACACCTGGCCAAAAAGTTTTAAAGTATTCTCTCAGCATTCGAAGACTGTCAGTTTATTTTTCTCCTTAGTTGCCTTTGATCACCCTTAGCCATCAGAGCAAGGCCTAATTTTAACAGTTTTTAATCTATGCATTTACTTATGTCAATGTAACTGGGTGGGTTGCTGCCTATAGAAGAGAACAGTTTCAAATCAGTGTTTTTAACTGGTTATTAAGCCCCAGTGAAGATCTGACTAAGGGAAAAACAGCTTAAGGGGGCTTTTAAAAGATAAATTATTAAAAAGGGAAATTGTTTAGTAATTAATTATGAGAATCAACCATTTGCCCCGAACTCAAAGCAGAGTAAAAGAAAATAAAGTAACATTGTGCATATACATTTTCTTTATCTATTCGTCCATTTTTTAATCCATTTGTCCACTGATGGAAACTTGGGTTAATTCTGTATCCTGGCTATTATAACAGAACTCTCAAGTTTATCTAGGCTTATTTTATTTTTTTCTTATTTTGAAGGTGTAGATTGACTTGAATCTTTTTGCTTCTTTTTTATTCCCTGTCTATCCTTCCTTCTTTACTATTTCAAAATCAGTGCCACTTGGCTCTCCTGGCATCCCTTTCTGTGATTTTATATATTTACATTTTCTTATAAATTTAGGAATAATGTGTTGTCAGAAATTTTTCATTTTAAAATTTAAAACAATTTTGTGATTAAAAGAAGTTGCCCTGTCCAAAGATTCCAAAATTTAACCAAGAGAAAGAGATGCATTTTAGGTAGTCGCATGTCTTCCCTGTGATTCTTGAATTTCTATCATAAAGGCAACCACTTTTCAACGAATAGCTACTCACTCATCAGCTATAAATGTGGAATTATCCCATATATCAGGGCTTGCCCCTTAACACAACAGAAACATCATCACTGACCTAACATCCATAGGGTGGGTGGTAAAACCCATCTTTTGCCCATCTTTTTGCATGAAGATAGGCAAAAGACCCCCAAAGATTACGAGGGGGAATGTTTATTAGAACAGAGCTCAACTGCAGAAAGAAGAGATGGGAAAGAGGTAGCCATCGTTTTTTCTTGATAAAGTTGAAGGCCAAAAAGAGGAGGCCTTTTGCAGGTAGCTTCAAGGATATCCCTCCCTGGGTTACGTTATGCATGCCTCCTTCACGAGTGCCTCAAATGGCAAAAACGGTAGCCATACTGTTAAAACAAATGACAATTCTATTGATGGCAGCCGCTGCCATCCCACCAGCTGCAGCAGGGAGGCTACAGTGAGGAGGCATGGAAGGGGTCGGCAGAAGCAGCTGCGGAAGCAGCAATGGCAACGGTGGGTCCCCTGTGCCCCACATCCCCGAGGCAGCCAACTGTGCCGCCATCATCCTCCACTCTGGCATGGCCAGGTGGGACTTGCTCCCAGGCCCAGAGCCTCCATCGCTCTGCACACTGGTTCCATTGCCAATCTCCCCTGCTGTCTCTGCAGGGAGGGCTCAGGGAGGAGGCGGAGCTGGGCCCAGGGCAGGGCGCTGCCGGCGGAAGCCAGGGACAAGCAGGAGACCCTCGGAGCCCAAACCAAGGGGCCACCCTGACAGGGCCGGGCAAGCTACCCGATGGCGGGGGGCACAGGGAGGTTGGGCATAGAGGGAAGGGCAGAAAGGGGCCCAGTGAGGACCTGGATTCCCCACCAGAGCCTGCAAGGAGGCATGGCTGGGACTGCCAGCACGCTCCATGGAGCCTGCCCTCCCAGGTGCAGGACCTGGGTGTCTAGACCCTGCACCCTCAGGTGCCTGGGAATGCCTCCTACATCCCCGCAGGCTCGAGGGTATCTTCTCCATCTTCCTGGACTCTCCTCACTCCCAGCACCTGCTCTGATCTTGGACTGAAGTTGGGGCCAAGCCTGGGTGCTGTCACAGCCCAGCTGGGTGTGTGCAGGCTCAGGCAGTGCTGACACGCCAGGCCCCTGCCTCCTCGGCCCAGTCTGGACATTGGGCACTGACGAGTATGGAGGGGAAGCCGAGCGGGAGTGAGGGCAGCTGGGTGCTGGCCTGCACATTACCCCTTGGCACAAGCAGTCTGGGTGCCATGGACGGTAGCGGGAGACACAAACATTCCTGGGTGGAAGGGAGAGGGTCCCCGGTGAGGCACCACCCTCAGGCCAGGGAGAACCTGAAGGTTGGGGCCAGGCTGACAGTCCCACAGACTGGATTGGGAACTTCTGATGCCTTTTCCAGGCCCACTCATGGCAGCCCATGGACCAATCAGCGTGCATTTCCTTTCCTCTGAGTCCCATGAAAGCCCCGAGCTCAGACAGAGCAGAACAGTTGATGGAACGACCAGCTGCAGAGAGAAGCTACCCTCTCTGCTGGAAGCTAAATACTTGGTAGGATGACCTGCCTGCAGAGAGGAGCTACCCTCTCTGCTAGGAGCTGAACACTCGTAGGGACACCTTGACTGTGGAAAGGAGCTGTCCCCTTCGGGTCTCCTATGAACTATTCTATTGCTCAATAGAGTTCCGCTTCCTCTTGCTCACCCTTCAGTTGTCTGTGTACCTCATTCTTCCTGGTCTCAGGAGAAGAACTCGGGACTTGCTGAATGGCAAGGCTAAAGGAGCTATAACACAAACAGGGCTGAAACATGCCCATTGCTACCCACATTGCTGGCGAAGAGGAGAGAAGAGCTGCAGCCCTTCGGGAAACCCAGACCTGGGAGTTCCCTGAGCCAAGGCTATGACTCCCTCTTTGGTGCCCTGCGGTTCTTGGCATCTCCAAGCTTCCAGGCACCATTGCATTCCCCCGTGCGAGCTGGGGAAGCTGTTTACAGTGCGCCTGGTCCAGCTGCAGCCTTGCAGAGAGCCAGCACCCATGCTGGCACTTGGAGCTGCTCACCCCAAGGCAGCAGCCAGCATGTCTGACTGTGCAGTGGCTGGACCCTGCGCTCTCTCACACACCCTTCGCTGCTCCACGCCTGACTCGCAGTCTCCCTTGGAGGCATGGGATCCAGGCCTGTAGCATGAGTCGTGGAGTACAGCCTGCCAGGCTGAGTGGGTGGAACCAGCCCAGGAGTCCCAAGCAAAACTCGGGCGAAGGTGCTACCTGCCACAGGTTTCTGGCCAGAAAAGCAACATCCCAAAGATCCTGTAACACTATCACACACACAAAAAAATCTATATAAGGAGAAAAAAATGACAAGGGGAAAGTATTTGCTTCATTTGCTTCAGGGTTGTCCATACCAAAAATTCAGAAACCACTAGAATCTGTGCACTGTTCTGTTTTTATCAGTGAATTTATAGACTACGTTGCTTTATTTTTTTTCTTTGACAAAACCTGCTTATAAAAGAGCTATAAAAGACTAGGATGTTTTCAGAATAGGCAGTCTGATTGCTTCCATTACATTTTCACCCCACTTAGAAACTGCCGGAATCATACTCAGCTTTGAACGATTTGGAAGTGATAAGGTGCTCAGTGTTATAATGTCTATAGAAAACCATGAATTATCACCATATTTTCCAAATATTTTAGTCTCTACTACACACTGTGAAAACCTCTGGGGAAAAAAAAAAAGTGAGCCAAAAAGACTTTCTATTTTATCGCAGAGCAACAACTAAATAATATCATTAATATTTTAAGCTAAATAAATAAAGGCAATCTGACAAGTTAAAAAAGTAGCATAATTTCAAGGAACAAGCTCAAAATAAGAAGATATTATATAATGTACTGGATCTAACACCAGTGCCTTGAGAGTTGCAGGATAAGTAAAGAGATAAGTAAGCCCATGGATTGTTTTAAGGAATAAATTTATAATGATGGTATTGATAAGATTAAAATATTGCTTAATGCTATTATCCTTATGCCCTTGGACTCTTTTCCAAGCCATATAAAATAATATTTTTTCTTATATATTTGCATTATTTATCTATTTTAACATTTAATAAAGAAGTTCTCCAATGAGGAAATTATATAAGAAAATATCTTTTTATAATTATTCCACAGAAAAACATTTTTTTCTCCAAGTATTGAAATCTAATTCAATTATAAATTAATGAAACTGAATTACCAAAGACAATTAAATTTGACATGCATTTTATTCAACTACAATTAGCTGCCAGTTTTCATTATATTTGAATGTATTTCACTGTGGGAATTTTATTAAAATTAAATTTTAAAGAAAAAAATATACATTTTCCACCTCTGAGATTTACTCCTTCAGGGAAACTTCTGTAAATTTGGTGCAAAATTTGCTAAAGATTTTTTTTATTAGCTTAAATTTAAATGAAAAACTTATTGAACAGCTTAAAGACAAATCTCATCAGACATTAAAACTATTCACCATGACTTTTTCTTGTCATAACATATTATTTTTGTATTCTTGATTGTTTAAACACAGAATCCCTGCTCTACTTTTGAAACAGTGCCACTAGGGTTGTAAGTAATGGTCAAAGGCAGAACATACCTAATATAAGAGAATCCTATTTCATATTTTTGTCCCAGACGGTTGTAGCAAAACTGTATTTATTTGGATTAAGGCAATTTCTTTTTCTACTCTGATGCACACAACCTTTTAAAATGCCTGCAAGAGAAATATAGGCTTCAATGTGAATTGCAAATGACCTTTTAATGCTTTAAACTATTGCTTATATGTCTTAAGCTCCTGCAAAATTTCACAATAAGGAAACTTTTTGGTTTCCAATGTTCTTTACATTTATGTATTATTTTACATTTTTAATATTCGAATATGCACATGTGCATATGTACATTCCCTTTTATAGCTATAAACGTCATGTTCCTGGAAACAAAGTACAACCTATTTCTTAGAGTTACTTGGGTACCTAACAGGATCTTCTAACTCTAATATCACCCTTGTAAGTTTTCTTTAAACATCATAGCCAGGTACCATTAACAACTGAGAAACATAGATATAGTCTAGTTAACATCCGCTGGATTGGAAATGACAGGAAAGCTCCTATGCTTCAATTAGGATTCAGGAAACAATGTCCTTTATCTTGGGCAGAACAGAACAGGGGAATATAAAATTTGAATAGCTAAAAGGAAGATCTTTCTCTCCTTCCAAGAACCAAGAATGAAAGACATTTTAAAAAGTTATACAGAAATATTTATCATTAAATTAAATATATGAAAATGATCTTTATTATTATCTTAATGTAAAATATCAAGAGGGAGATTTACAACATATTTCCACCCATTATTAGTATTTAGATTAAATAAGGCAGTCATGCCATTGATTAAATATACATATTTTTAACACGGTAATTTTTGTATATCAATCTGAAAACATAATGTCCTACATATGTGATGCTAAATCCAAAAATGGAAATGCTCTAATCTAGTTAAACCAGATATTTTATTACAATTTATTTCATTTCAATTATATTGGCCAGTTATGGGGAATTTTATTTTAAAATATGAGTAATCTGATCATTTTAATAGGTTGTAGTAAAGGAGCTGGTAAGGTACAAAATTGGACCTGCAGAAATTAGGAAAAAATATAGAAAACACTGTGCTCACCACATATATAAACACTTCATATATATGATCCCATTTATTCCTCAAAACAACTCATGGAGAGATGTATCATTATAATCATTTCCTTTTATAGATAAGAAAACCAGCATATATAAAGGTTATATACATGTTACATGTAGAAAAGATATATAACTGTTCCCCTGGTTACTAAGTGGCAGTGTGAGAATTTGAATTCAGATAGCCTGGTATCAGAGTCCATGATCTTCACCCCTACCCCATGTCTAGCCTGAAAAACATCACAGAAATTGAATTCTTAAGGCAGACAGGTTGATAAAAGGAGAACAGAGGTCATATAGACAGGATCTTAGCCTTAGAAGGCAGAGGAGTGTCAACTTTTTTTGGAGAGGGGATAGAAGATGAGGAAATGACACACAAATATTCTGAGGTGCTGTGGGAGTTCTGATTGTTGAGGCTGATGAAAATTTGTTAACTTAGGGCAGTGTGGATTCAATCATCTATGAGAAGATCATTCTATGAAGAAAGTTCAAGAAAGATGTAGGATCCAGGGCCTCTGATTTCTCACTAAAATATTGTGAGAAAATATTTGAAACAGTCACTCTGGGAAAACAATTGGGAGAAAATAAGAAATAAATAAAAGAATAGCTGAAAAGTAGTAAGGACTTAACTGAAGCTGCTTAGCATGACATAATTGTAAATGCATTAAGAAAATATAGGTGGTGACAGGAATCAATGGCTTTGATCATTTTTTTTTAAAAGACATCTTATTAACATGTGTTAATAGGAGGTATAAAATCAGATCTTGGAGTCTGGGCTTTTTTGTATAAAATAAGGAATTCTAGTCAAAAGAACTTGGGCATTAACATACACAATCTGCCATCACCGTGGATGACATACAACCAGATACCATAACAGAGAGAAGGAACGAAGAGAAAATGGAGACCTGAGTGTTACAGTTATCTACAGAACTAGAGGGGTCCTTCCAAAGTCAGAAGAAATAAGGACACAGATGCGGAGAAAGTTCTAAAATGTAGAGTCTGACTCTGTAATGTAACTTGACACTTCAAAATAGTGAATCTTTCAAGTAATCAAGAAGACACAGCAGTTGAAAGTGGAGCCCGGTCGGAGGTGTTTGGGTCACAGGGGCAGATGTCTCATGGTTTAGTGCTATGCTTGCCATAGTGAGTGAGTTCTCAGGAGATTTGGTTGTTTAAAAGTGTGTGGCACCACACCTGCCACAGGCTCCCCCTGTGCCTTCCATGATGACTGTAAGCTCTCTGAGGCCTTACCCAGAAGCTAAGCAGATGCCTGGTAACAGGTTTCCTGAACAGCCTGCAAAGTGTGAGCCAACTAAACCTCTTTTTTCAGGAATTAAAAAAAAACAAGAAGACAGAACAGTGATCTGGAATTGGCAAACAGGGGTAGGCCCATTGGTCTTCTCTTTTGGAAATTTCCAGCTACTGGAGAAGGTGAACCCTCCCTGAGGTCAGGCTCTGGGAAAAGTGTAATTTGTGGAAAGATTACAGATTTCGGACAGGGATATGTGACAGACTAGCTGATACGAAGAGTATTTTTGGAAAAGAAATGTTTTCCTAGGGCAGAAGGCGAGGTATAGAGAATTCAGTCATTTATTATAAGAAACTCCCTCCTTTGCAGCAGAGAAAAATGGTAGACAGACCCATCATGAAAGACATGAGAGTTCAGAGAAAATGACAAGAAGTTGGGAGTTGGCTGATGGATAAAAGAAAACTAACCCGGCCAAAATGTGTTCAGAGGGAAAGTTGAAGGGTGAGTAGTTTCCATTACCTAAAATATTTGAATGCCTAAATGTTGGAAAGGCAAGAGTTATGAATGGTAGCACTTTGAAAGTCTAGTTTACAATGGATCCGGGACCTAGAGGGTTTCTTCAAAATATTTGAGTGGGAGAGAAAGGTTGGCTAAGGATTGTGTATCCACAGTGCTGTGAGCTTGATCTTCCTACATTTCTAAGGCACTAAACAGAGGTCCTAGCTGCAGTAATTTTATAATGCTTTAAAATTATCTTTTACATTCATTAATGTTTTAAATATTTTAAGTCTAGGGAACTAGGTACAAATTACTTCTGACATTTATGCTCCAAAAACTTCATTTGTCCCCAAAATACTTAGTGACACTCTATCCTATCATATGTGATATCAGTAGATCTGACTCTAGGACATATTTGCTACATAAGTCCTTAGGTAAGGTAGAAACTTTTCACCTTTGGCCTCACACAATATGTAATCTTTCTTTTTTTTTTTTTTTTTTTTTTTGAGACAGAGTCTCGCTCTGTCGCCCAGGCTGGAGTGCAGTGGCAGGATCTCAGCTCACTGCAAGCTCCGCCTCCCGGGTTCACGCCATTCTCCTGCCTCAGCCTCCCGAGTAGCTGGGACTACAGGCGCCCGCCACCACGCCCGGCTAATTTTTTGTATTTTTAGTAGAGACAGGGTTTCACCGTGTTAGCCAGGATGGTCTGGATCTCCTGACCTCGTGATCCGCCCGCCTCGGCCTCCCAAAGTGACAATATGTAATCTTATAGTAGTTTCATACAAGTACAAAATACATTTACTTTGAGCAACATTGTTTTCACATTTTATTTGCCTCTGTAAAACATCAAAGAAGGAATTTTTCATTATTGTTTCAATTTTTTCATGTGGGTGTTTCTGTGTTTGCCCCCAAGGCTCTTTAAAGATTTTTTGTCTGTCTAGGCTAATCTTTTGACATTCTGTGATTTCTGTCACCTAGCTCATGTCTACATGACAGCAAACAAATGTTTCAGCAGGAATAATTGGTTCCTAGAGGAATGAGAGGCATCATCCGATGTCCAAACAAAATCATTAAAGCAGTTCTTTCCATTTGGAAGAACTGAAGAAGACGTTTCTGAGTCTTTTTTGTAGCATTTCAATAATCAAAAATATCATATAACCTTCACATGAAGCTGAAAAAAAAAATTGCATTCGATGTTGTAAGGTCTCTGGGACTGCCCACATATAATTCTCCTCCCAGCACTATCTCTAACACCTTTATGGAAACACCTACCCCTTTCTCTCCCACTCCACATCTCTCTTTCTGATCCCCAGTCCTAGACTTTGTCTCAGAACCTGAATTAGCATTTTAAATTTAGTTAGTTAGAGCAAATATCATGAATTCTCCATTATTTTGACAGGATTGAAATTGTTCTGGTGATTCATTAATCAACTTATCAAACATGGAGTGGGATAGTGCCTATACCAATTGAAAGTCAAGAAATAAAGCTTAATTGTTTAATGTCAAAAGCTCAGGGACAGAGTTCAGGTAATTGCCAGGCAGCCTATTCACATGAGTTTTAAAATATAAGGACTTGATCTAGGTTAAACTAAAGACACTTTCTAATTATTTGGAAAGGGCTTCTCATGCACACACTTCAATATGTATTAAATAAGTAACTTAAATAAAATGATGTGCCCAATTGGGAATAAAATTTTAATTGAAAGCTGGTATAAAACTACAAAAGTGAAAACAAATTACATGTATGCAAAAAAGAAGAGAAATTGTGCTGTTAAAAACATGCATTTAAAACAAATTATGCTCTCGAAAGCAGTGCCTATTACCTATTTTGAAGATATAATTTGTTTTTAATATATACTGTAGAGCAACTATTTATTCTTATGTTGGTAACACATATAAAAATGACAAGGTCTCTAAACTTTTAACTTTCTGAGCAGAGAAATTTAAACATTCAAATCTCAAGTTAAGGAGACTCTAATTTCTATTAAAACATATAAAATTGGCCTACATATATCAAGGTGATTTACATACTTTAATTTTTTTTTCCTCTGTTATAAGTCTAGGAAATGAGAATATGAGCCAATGAGCCTGGAGCACTTTGAAGTTTAAGGAGGTAGTTGTAAAATACAAAATCTTAAATGATCTCAATATCAGTGCTACTGAGAATCACTTCCATCAAGTTCAGATACATTTCTGCATATCAAGTTTTACATTTCAACCTGCCTAATAGGCCCAAAACAGGATATCTTGCCAGCACATCAATTTAAAAAGTTCTCAAAAAATTTTAGCACAATTCCTCCTCCAAACCAGGCCCTCTACTCTCCTTTTTTCACCATATATTTCTGCTGATTATACTATCCTCTCAGTCTCTAAGACTCAAAATCTTGGCATTGTTTTTATAATTCAGTTTGTTCTTGAATGTTGAGTGAAAAAGCAAGATGCAAGTGATTTTTTTCATGTATATGTAAATGTACGTTAGAAATACCAAATATGGCAGATATATAGATACATGAATTACATACATCAAACTCACAATAGCAGTTTTGACTAGGAGGGTAGTGAATAATAACATCTTAAGTCTTATTTTGTACTTATTTATTTTAAGGAGATTAAAAATAAAATCTAGTTTTTGAAGATTAGTCTGTGTGATAGGAATATAGATGTTTAATATCTTTCTGCTTTTTAAAATCATATTTCCAAAGCAAATATGTATATACTTGTAAGACAAAAGTACCAAAGAAAAAAGAACAGATAAAAGAACAGCAGAATGGGAAGAGATAATCAATGCAGGACAGAATTAATACTGAAAATATATAGAAAAGGCCCTGTATAATGCAAACCATGCAGCCACCAAGCTGCTCCCCTGTACTGCTTGGCCTCTGTCTGTTCTCACCATTCCCACTTCCCCATCCTGTTTTCCAACCTTATTATCTGTGGTTTGCACTGTGAAACACAGTCTTCCGATGGGTCACCCTGATTATAAATGCTCTTCGATCCAAAGCAAGTTTTACATGATGTCAGATTGTACTCCTTTATATCTTTTATAGAATCCTTTTGCAAATGGAATGAAAAGTTTACTTTTAACTTAATATTCAAGGCCTATGGTGATTTGTCACATGCCTTAAGTCTTCTTATCTCTCTCATCTCTATCCTTCTCTAAAATACTATACAATGTCACCCAGGTCCATCCTCTGCTTTCTTCTTTCTCTCCTCTTAGTTATCTACTGTTCTCAATCATGAATGCCTTGTTCTAAGTTTCTATATCATTCTAATCTATACACTTTTTATATTTTAAAGTTTAAGGTTCTATGTAAATGCCATCTCATCTGTGCAATCATTCCCAATTGCAAATAATAGATATAATGCTTCCATTTTCTCCTTTGATATAAAAATTAAGCTCTAAGTTTGGTGATTACCAATTTCTGCTTCATAATATAATCATTAACTTGTACAACTTTTTTTTTTTCTGGCACGTAAGATCGTGACGCAGGGTTTGTATTTATATTCACTTACATAACACCGCGAATGCATAGGACAGTATACTGTATTTACTAAGTAAACAAAAATATTGTCAAATATATATTGGTTACCCATAGCTGTCAGGAAATATTTCTGGATTCAGCAAAACATCATGCTTCTTATGATGCCCTTTCTCTTGCCAACTCAAACAACATATTAAGTACTTGTCAACCAAATTTGTTCACAGCCCTTTCTCATTGCAGAATTTTGTATCCTTTTCTACTAGTCAGTCAATAAGTACCTTCCTTTTCAACCACTGTAAATATACCTATCATAGTGAAATTAAAGAAAAAAGTGGGAAACTGTTAACCTTTTTCTCTCAAGGGGCTCTTTGATCACCATGTAAATTTGCCCATAGGTGCTCCTAGAGATCACTGGATTCTTCATCCCACAAGCTGTGGTATTGTACAACTTTTTGCAAGCCAAAACCCTACCTAGTCATGTGTGGTTTTAGACAGTGGACATATTGTTTTCATAGTAATTATGCTGATCCTTTAATTTTCTTCTCCAATCTCCCTCGTAATTTTTTAAAAAGGCAGTTGCAGAAAATAAGATTTTTAGTTTATGAACAGAGAACCGAATGAAACGACTACTAGTTGCCTATTATCTTTTCCACATTTATTTATAAGATTACTTAAAAAGACTAATCTCATTTAACCATGAGCCTCAGGTTCACTGTCTGAGAAATGAATCAACATTTAACTGGACTAATTTCTTTTCCAAAATAGTGTTCGTCATATATCCCTTAAGATAAACAACTTTGAATTTTTCAAGGCATTAATTTGTGTGTGGCCAAATTTTATTATCACAGCACCATTACACATTAGGTAGAGCAGAAATGGCATTGACAAATCAGGAAGACTATACTAAGAGAGTTCACTGATTTACTTACATTCATTAGTTGTAGCAGGGTTAGGAGAGAAGCTGGCTCACCTCATATCTAAACAACAAACCTAGCGTGTGCATAGTCTTTTGTTCAATTTAATCTTTGGTATGTCTCTTGTCACTAGAAAATAAACGCCTTAAGAGTAGAGATAATTTTTATCTTCCCCAAATTACTATGCAAATAGGATAATTTATTAACATTATCTTAAGCAGAAAAATACATCCTCCAGTGCTCTCAGTACATTTCTCCCATATTATCTCCATTTGACTAGGGAAGATAAATTCTTCCCTGGCAGCCAACACAGAAACAGTATCCATTCTCCTGACATTATTTCAAAAAAATCACAAAGATTTTACTAAAAGATTTGTATAATTAAGAAATTATTTTTTTCTCAAATAAAAATGTAATACTTTTTTATTAGAGAAAAAAATATAAAATTATTTATAAATCTATATAAAATAAAAGTCATCTTTAATTCTGTTACACCATGATATTTTTTTGGTATTATACAAGGATAGCCACTCTCTGTCTCTACATATATATATCTTCACACACATATGTGTGTATAAATATATGTATATGTATATATACATGTATATATGTATATGAAGATACAGAAGTAGCATATATTCATATACATATACATATACATATATGTATATATGTGTATTCACACACATAGATACCTACATAAAATATTAATTATAATCTGCATATTACTTTGTGGTCTTCCTCTTTATTTGCTCACTTAACACTTTGCAATTACTTTCACATATTATTAATTACAATAACATATTAGCAAAGAAAATCTTTAATGGTTCCCAGTGAAATATGGTTTCAGATTTATACTATTCTGACTGGTGCTCAAGCAAAGACCTACTTAATTTCATATGGTTGACATAGATGAGTTTTCTGTTTCCCAGTATGGTAGCATAACATTTTAGGCCAAAATTAGGTAAGAATTAGAAGTCTGGGATACACAATGCAAAAGAAGTCAGCCAATATTTTTAAATAAATAAATAAATAAGTAAGGTTATCAAAATATAAATGAGTTTTTAAATTATGAAATTAAAGGTAGATTTGAAAATATATGTATATAGCTACTTCAGTTAGAAATTCAGAAGAAAATATTTGAAACAGCTCATGAGAAAACTAGTGAACTGTGAGAATTGAAAATATTATCCAGAATACATCCCAAAAATCAAAGCATCAGAAATAGGAAGGAGGGCCTAAAAACCTCAAAAGATAGAGGGAGAAGATTTAACAAATGAGAGAAAGGAAATGGGGTAGAGGTAATGACTAAATGTTTTCTGTTGATGACAGACATAAGTAGTCAAACTAAATTAAAAAATGCAAAAACGGTCAATAAAAAATAAATGCACATCTAGACATATCATTTCAAAACTAAGCACCAAAGACAAAGAGAATATATTAAAGACAGGCAGAGGCAAAAGATAAATTACCCAGAGTTAACTGCATAGTTCTCAACACCAAAAACAGAAATGAGAGACAATGGAATAAAATATGTTTTTCAATGAGTAGGAAAATGATGTAAAATGAAGTTCTGTCATACAAGAAAAAATGGTGAATAAGAAAGTGGTAAGACCTTGGGCAAATCTAACCATATACTGGCTATAAAAAACAGCAATAAGAATGACTAATATGTTAAAATATAAAGGGGAAAAAGATAAAACTATGACATTTAATTGAAATGCCATGTGAGCCAGAATAAAGAGCATGACCAGAGACAGAGATGTCTGTAAGTCCTTGAATTATTTTTAAAAAGATATAAACATTAATATACAGGCCTGAGCCACAGTACTTAGCCCAACACATGTGTTTTATTTTTTATTAAAACACATGTGGGATTAAAAACCAAAGGTAAACTTTAAGGAAAAAAAAAAAAACAGAATGTGTACCTTGCAAATGAATGTGGGAATAATGTTATATAAAAAAAATTTATTCAAAAGGGCTAAAAAAGGCCAAAAATGTGATGAAAAATCACACTTTGGGTAATGTCTGTTCTGGAATAGCTGGGGTCAAACTCATTGTCCTTCCACAGAGGACAATGATATAAGCTAAATATTAGAAAAGCAGATGGTAGAGAGATATATAGAGAGATGAATTTATATATATACATATGTAAAATATATGCAGTGTTATATTTGTCGTATAAGTAGATAATGTAAATCTATATTTACATTTAAATATTTAAACATAACATACACATATTTTTGTGTGTTACACATCTCTATTAATGAATTTATTTTATGTATTATATGATATATATGCAATATATACTTCAAACATACAAATACACATACACACACATATATTGTTCTTTAAAAATTATTAAGAAACAACCATAACAACCAGAATTAAGAGGCCAAGAACAGGAATAAGGGTACATTGATCTGAGAACTGAATTCTGCTTGTGGTTTTCCTTTTGGAAACCACATGCGTCTGCCTATCTGAGCTAAGAGCACAAAAGTGGAGATCAAAGGATCAGCTGTATCACCGGTTTGAGATAAGAAAAAATTAGACTTCAGAGTTATCAAGGACTCAGTATTTGGCAAAACAAAGATCCTGAAAATATGTGTGCAAGTCACTTGAAGACACATGTCAACTTCTAAACCAAATAATAATTTTTTTAAAAATGGTAAAGTTAGAAGTAAGTCTCCAAATAGTTCATGGTCATAGGAGAAGTCACACTAAAAATTACAACATTCTTAAAATTAAATGATTATAAAAGCATTATGCATAAAAACTTATAGAAAGCAGCTAAATGATACTTTACAAGAAAGCTCTAAGTGTTTATATTAGAAAAGACGAAATAATAAAATTTAGAGAAGAAATTGATGAAATTGAACATAAAAATAAAATAGAATGCACAGACTGGAAAATTGTTCTTTGACGGATGAATTGTAGTGGCTATGAGAATGCACTTCACAGACCTCCATGTGAAGGGAGCATAATTTACCAACACTAACTGTCACGTTTGCTATAAATTCCACTCATGCTCGCACTAAGACCAAGATGCTCATGGATTTCTCCCACTCAGTGACTAAGCACATCAGGATAATAATGTAAGCCTGATCTTGAAATGCCATGTGAGCCAGGATAAGGAGCATGACCAGAGACAGAGATGTCTGTAAGTCCTTGAATTATTTTTAAAAAGATATAAACATTAATATGCAGGCCTGAGCCACTGCACTTAGCCCAATACATTTTATTTTTTACTAAACCACATATGGGATGTCTGACTTTAGCTCAAGGACTCCCCAAAGGCCTTGCCATATCTTCTTTAGAATGGACAACCATAAAGGACACATTTGTCTACTGTTTCTTCTTTTCTTCCTTTTTTTGGATGAGACTTGCCTGTGGTCTGACAGCTCTCTCAGTTCTTCACCAGCTTCCTCGCTATATTTTCTGCACAGGCATTTCTCTTAGTTAAACCCCTGCACATTTAATTTCATCTTGTTATCTGCTTCTAATAGGACCCAAGCTAATACATAAAATAAAACAAAATGGCTTTTCTAAGGTTAATCACAAAAGAGAGCAAAGAAAGCATGAATAAATATTGGTAGAAACAAACACAACAATTGTAGATACAGTGGGTTTTTTTAAAGATGAGAGAATTATGAACAAATTTGTGCAAATAAAATTGAAAATCTAGAACAAATGAACTTACTGAAAAAAATACACGCTTACTAAAACTAACCAAAGGGGATAAGGGAGAGGCTAATTAAGTGTAAGCAGCAAAGAAGTCAAACAATGTTTTAAATATTTGACAAAATGAAAGATGAAACTCAATGTTACTGAGAGTTCTATCAAATATTTAAGAACAAGATATCCTAAATGTTATAAATGTTCTCAAAATTGAGAAAGGGGAGCCAAGGAGTCAGAAAAAACTGCCAGGCATGTTTAATATTATCTTTATGATAATTGTATTTTAATTTACGTATATGTTCCATTTTGAGTTATATTTCTGTAAAGGGTTTAAGGTCTGTGTCTACATTCATTTTTTTTTCTATGAAAAAAAAAATCACCATTTGTTGAAAAGATTATCTTTTCTCCATTATATTGCCTTTGCTCCATTGTCAAAGATCATCTGACAGCTGGGTGCAGTGGCTCACACCTGTAACCCCAGCACTTTCGGAGGCCGAGGCAGGAGGATCACTTGAGACCAGGAGTTCGAGACCAGTCTGGGCAACATAGTGAGACCTTGTCTCTACAATTTTTTTTTTTAAGTAAAAAATTAGCTGGGCATGGTAGCACATACAAGTAGTCCTAGCTACTTGCTTGAGCCCAGGGGTTTGAGGCTGCAGTGAACTGTAATTGCACCTGCAGCATGGGTGACAGAGCAAGACCCTGACTCAAAAAAATAAATAGATAAAACACCAGGTGACTATGTGTATGTAGGTCTATTTCTGGGCTCTCTATCCTGTTTCGCTGATCTGTTATATTCGTTTGTTCTTTGCTAATACAACACTGTCTTGATTAACGTAGCTTTGTAGGTATTCTCAAATTCTAGTAGTGTCTGGTTCTTTGACATTGTTCTTCTCCTTCAATATTGTGCTGGATATGCTGGACCTTTTGCAAAACTATAAAACAACTAGAAAATAACATAAGAGAAAATCTAGATGACCTTGAGTATGGCAATAACTTTTTAAATCCATCACAAAAGGCACAATCCATGAAATAAATAATTGATAAGCTAGACTTCATTAAAATTCAAGACACCATCATGAAACAACAAAACAAGCCACAGACCAGGTTGAATTATGTGCAAAAGACAAATCTGCTGAAGTATCCAAAGTATACAAAGAACAGTTAGAATTCATCAGTAAGAAGACAAACAGCCTGATTTTAAAATGAGCAAAAGACCTGAACAAACACCCTAGTAAAGAAGGTATACAAATTGCAAATAAACATGTGAAAAGATGCTCAATATCATATGTCATTAGGGAGCTGAATATTAAAAACAACTGGTATCTACTTCACAACTATTAGAATGGCCAGAATCCAAAATATTGACATCACTACTGGTGAGGATGTCACCAAGAAGAATTTTTATTCATTGCTGGTGGATATGTAAAATGAAAAACCACTTTAAAAGACAGTTTGGCAGTTTGTAAAAAAACTGAACATACTCTTACCATACAATCCAGCAATCATGCTCCTTTGTATTTACACAAATGAGTTGTAACTTATATCCACACAAGAGACTAAAAACAGATGTTTATAGCAGCTTTATTCATAATTTCCAAAACTTGGAAGCAACCAAGATATCCTCAGTAGATGATAAGATATAAACTATGGTACATCCAGGCAATGGAATACTATTCAGTGCTAAAGAGAAATGAGGTATCAAACCATGAAAAGACATAGAGTAATCTTAAATGCATACAACTGAGGGAAAGAAGCCAATCTAAAAAAGCTTCTATAAAAACATATCATATAATTCTAACTATATGACATTCTAGAAAAAGCAAAACTATGGAGACAGTGAAAAGATCAGTGGTTGCCAGGAGTTTAGGGGTCAGGAAGGATGAAGAGAAGGAGCACTGAGGATTTCTAGGGTGGTGAGATTATTCTATAATACTATATTGGTGGATACATGTCATTACATGTTTGTCAAAATCCATAGAATATATAACACCAAGAGTGAATCCTAATGTAGACTCTGGACTTTGGGTGATAATGGTGTGCTATTATAGGTTTATTGGTTATAACAAATGTACCACTGTGGTGTGAAATGTTGATAGTAGGGAAGGCTAGGCAGCGAGGGCTAGGGAGTATATGAGAACTCTCTGTACTATTCAATTTTGCTGTGAACTTACAACTACTCTAAAAAATAGATTCTATTTATAAAACAATATTGTAAGATCTGAACAGTAATTTGTGTATTAATTTAAAAAAGAGCCATGTTGACAATTAACCATGACATAATGCCTCAATAGCCCTTAGATATTTTTATTACTTATTTATATACTTTTTTTAAAAGCAGAGGATCTTGGCATAGATCACTCTAGTACCCTGGCATCAAAAATATATAATAAAAATTGATCAAAAGGACTTTCTGTTCACTGCTTGAGATCTGCCTTCACTGCAGAGATTCAGTTGGCTGGAGGTCAGCTCCATCCAGGGTGATAGAGTGTGGCATTGGCATGAAGGCATGACCAACATGGTACTAAGATGCAACACCCACTCCACAACTCCCACTGGGGTGGCCAAAACCTTGTAGGCCTCGACAACCCTTTTGTCCATCCTGCTTCCTTTCTTTCTGGTCACAATTGTTAATCTCTGTTGAGCATCTTGCTCCCCAAACTTTCAATGTCTGCTTCCAGATGACTGAAACTGCAAGACATCAACCGTGTAAAATGCATCTTTTATACACATATATTTTTTCACAATTTTTTTTTTTTTGAGATGGAGTCTTGCTCTGTTGCCCAGGCTAGAGTACAGTGATACAATCTCGGCTGACTGCAGCCTCTACCTCCTGGGTTCAAGTGATTCTTCCACCTCGGCCTCCCAAGTAGTTGGGATTGCAGGTGCGTGACACCACACCGGGATAATTTTTGTATTTTTGGTAGAGATTTGGTTTCACCATGTTGGCCAGGCTGGTCTCGAACTCCTGACCTCAAGTGATCCACCCACCTTGGCCTCCCAAAGTGCTGGGATTACAGGCATGAGCCACTGCACCTGCCCTGTTTTCACAATCTTTAAGTATTTTTAAAAGTATTTCTGATTTCTAACAGTAGTAAAGTACCAATATCTATTGTTCTTATGTTTGTCCTAATAACACTATCATAAACCAACTTCTACAAACTTGTTCAACCTTTCATCTAAATTTTGGATCATGATTTCTGACATTTGTTTTCAAATAAAAATGAATATGATACATAGTTTTTATTATTTTACCTATTTGTATTAATATGAGCTTTGATCAATAGAAGTAAACTTCATTTTTCTTGGTGTAAGGCAGTCAAATGTTTGCTTTATATCATGTGGAAAATAAAATAAAGCAGTTCTTTGAAAATTCCTGTTAAATTTGTTATGTAAGAGTTTCTAAATTTATATTCCTTTTGATAATGTCATAAGACTTTTAATTTCTTAAGAAAAACGTTTAGTTTTTAAAATTTATATTGAGTCAGGAAATACAAAAATTGATCAAAGCCAAACAATCAGATGACCACTTTGTAGAGAATGACTTATTACAGGGTTTCACATCCTCCTTTATGTTAGCATATCTTCCTTATAACAATGCAGAATTCAGTGTATGTTAGTGTAGGTTCATATCAGGTCAGAATTGATACTGAAAATGACATTGACACTATTTACAGAAAATCTTTTGAGATAAGAAAAGTACTATTTTTTTTTAAATCTAGTTTTTTCCAAAGAGGAGAAAATAAATTTAAGAATTGTCACCTTTAAATGAGTCATTCCTGCCCTTGATTTTTCTGTCATTGTAGAGTATAAAATAGAAATCAAATATTAATAAAATAGTTACAATTTTATAAAACATTATTATGTACTTCATACTAAATTAATTTTCCTGCTTTTCTTTTTAGTTATAGGTAATATTCACCAATAACTAAATAATATACATTATTAATGATAAAACACAAAGTCTGGTTAATATTCACTGTATCATATAGTTCACAATTGTGAAAATAAATAATCTCTATCTTTCAAGATTTAGGAATTACATATTTTAGAATAACAATAATTAAAATTTTGTCCAAACTTAAAATGGATGTTTTGTTGTCAAATATCAGAAAACCTCTTGGATGCTTATATTTTGGGTATATTTTAACCTTTTTACTGATTAATTTATGTATATATTTTGCAAATAAGTTTAAATTTAGACGTTTAATCTTGTAGTTGATATAAGGAATACAAATGTATTAATTAAGTCAATGTATATATTATGGTAAGCCCAAAACTTTAGGGAAATACTTTTTTTTTTTTTTTGATACAGAGTCTCACTCTGTCACCCAGGCTGGAGTGTGGTGGCGCAATCGGTGCTCACTGCAAGCTCCGCCTCCTGGGTTCACACCATTCTCCTGCCTCAGCCTCCCGAGTAGCTGGGACTACAGGTGCCCGCCACAACGCCCGGCCAATTTTTTGTATTTTTAGTGGAGAAAGGGTTTCACCATATTGGCCAGGCTGGTCTTGATCTCCTGACCTTGTGATCTGCCCGCCTCAGCCTCCCAAAGTGCTTGGATAACAGGCGTGAGCCACTGCACCCGGCCCAGAAATACTTTTTTAACATGAATTTTTATCAAATGAAAATTATCTAGAGAAAAGACACAGTAAAGAAGAAAAAAAACGGAAAAGTTAGAAGAATATATACTTTAGTAGAGGCATTAATTTTATAAAAAGTTCAGATACAGATTATTTATGCTGATTATAATTGTCCATTATACTTTCCCATGATCTATTCTGTTTTATTTTTTTTTATTTTTTTTTTATTTTTTTTATTTTTATTATTATACTTTAAGTTTTAGGGTACATGTGCACAATGTGCAGGTTAGTTACATATGTATACATGTGCCATGCTGGTGCACTGCACCCACTAACTCGTCATCTAGCATTAGGTATATCTCCCAGTGCTATCCCTCCCCTCTCCCCCCACCCCACAACAGTCCCCAGAGTGTGATGTTCCCCTTCCTGTGTCCATATGTTCTCATTGTTCAATTCCCACCTATGAGTGAGAATATGCAGTGTTTGGTTTTTTGTTCTTGCGATACTGAGAATGATGATTTCCAATTTCATCCATGTCCCTACAAAGGACATGAACTCATCATTTTTTATGGCTGCATAGTATTCCATGGTGTTACCATGAATATAGTCAAATCAAATGAGAGACTAGAAAATTATAAATATAATTTTATGAATTATTTATGGCATGTTAAGGATATACAAAATAATAGTTTTAACCCACCATATACTTAACATGTAAAACATGAATACCATTAAAATCTATGGGTAGCTCTCACCAATAGTGTATCTCCCCTGCCAGGTAAATATATATGTACTGTTTCCTAAGGTTTCAAATGCTGTAAGGATATAAATAGGTAGAAGCTGCTAAAACAATTTTAGATTAAGTGGCAAAGGAATTTCACTATCTTCTTAAAGGAAATAGCAATATCTTTAATGTTTATATTTAATGATTTTAGCAAAATAATTTATTTTATCTATATGAAAAGTCAACCATAGGAAGTTCTGTAAGATTAAAGTTCATTTGACTACATGCTTGCCATACTTCATTATATCACTAAGTACCAGTTCAAATGATCCAGAAAAATTAATTTTAAAATGTTAGCATAAATTGACTTAAAAATACAGGAAAACAAATACAAATTATATTTAGAAATTTCTGAAGTAACCTGTAGTATATCAGTGTGAACAAGAATACTCTTGAAAAAACAGAACTGTTTACAACATACGCATGGGCTATATTTAATCTGTGGCTGTCTTTATATACTGTAATCTAAGCCCTTTATAATAATTCCATCATCCGTATTTTCCTAAATGGTGTCCTGCTGAAATTTGAGGTACTATCATTTTCATTTAATATAAATTACTCTTAACACTTTATATAATGCACTTATAAAAATATGGCCTATTCAAGTTTAAAGGCATAGTAAATGTATATTATAACATATCATTCAGCCTTTCAATCTGTTCAGCAAGAATAGTTTTAGAGAAGTGTGGGAAGGCCCATTAGAGGATCAGACCTTCAAGAAGGCTTTTACTAAGTGTTCGTTTAGCTTAAAGCCCAAATACTTGCTATAAAGTTTCCAGGTATATTTGACCAATTAATGTCATTTTTCACTTAAAGTGTTAGATAATTTAAAGTATTTGTTTAAAGCAGTTATCACTTTGGGAAACTAACTGCCCCCTAATCTATTCAGGTTTAATATTTTGTTTATAAGATAGGATCAATATTATCTCTCTTTTTCTTATAATACTTGCCAAATTATATACTAATGATCTATAGAATTATATGCAAACATTGCAAATCTACTTTAAAAAGAAAACAGCATTTAAAAATGTAGAAATGTAGAGTTCTTGGTAAAGTTGATCCATTAAGTCATTCACAATCTCTCACTTGAGATCTTTTCAAGCTTCCGGCATTTATTTCTGAAGTTTCATTGCAGATAAATAAAAAACAGTAACTGTCCACATGAAATTCCTTTTAAAAAACTGAGCCATCCGGTAAATCTTGTACCTATGGATTCAACTTCCCTTCAAATCATATTTTCTAAAGGATCACTTAACTCTCAAAATCACCAATACATTTTTTAAAATTTAGTTGACCATAAGAAAAAAAATCAAATTAATGGGCTTATATGAAGTCAGTGAAACAAAGATAGCAACACCTTCCCCTTGTTTTTCCTTTGGCAAGCATTCCATGGAAGGAAAGATCCAGCATCTTTCTACGCAATTGACCCACATAGCCTGGGTACCTTGAAGGCAACCATGCAACATTCAGAATTGTGGGAACATGTTGCCAAAAGTACAGAAGGCTTTGGCAGTGAAGAGCAACATTTTGCATATTTGTACTATGCCCATTGCAGTGACAGCTGCTGAGACAGATTTCAAAGTCTTTTACACCGCCAGTTACCCACGTATTTCTATCCTTGGCACCCCTTTCAAGAATAGAAAATACCAGCTGTTCTTTCTGGCTACCAAGGCAGTGCATAGAATTGCTCTCTCTTCCAAAATAAATAAATAAGAAATAAATAACAATGACAGAAAGTAAAATCTAAGCTGAGAGGGGAACAACGAACCAAAAAAGGTTTCTATTAGCACTTCTAACTAACACATCAATACTTTGGCTCACACTTTACCCAAAACATCTTGCTGCTCCTAATCTTTCCTGAAAATACAAACAAAACTTTTATATATATATATATATATATATATATATATATATATATATATATATATACACACACACACACACACACACATATATATACACACACACACACGCACATATATATATATATACACACACACACATATATATATACTGCTAATGGCCTGGATGATGTGTTTGATGGCTTGGAGAGATTTCAGTATGTTCCTTAGTAGTGCCAAAATATGTCAGTGTCCCATGAATCTCAGCAGTCAATGCAAACCTTGTTGGTTTCATACAATAGTTTTTAAAATATTATAACTATTATATCTTAATTAAAATCCAGTTAATGAAGAAAAAAGCTGCTTTTTCAAATAATTTGGACATGTGGAAAAAGTCTAGATAAAGTATCCTATGGGTATTTGTTTTATTTTCTTATTCAATGTAAACATAGCACTGATCAAAATAGAGGATGGCGTCATGTTTAGTTAAATCTTAAAATACTTGTCTATTAGTATTAACACTGCTATAGATATTTAATACCTTCCTGGCTCCCTTTATACAAATATCATTTTTCATACTTATAAATTTTTTATTTAAAATAAACTCATAAATACATTAGCATAACATTGAAAAAATCTATTTTCCTCAACTCCTACAGTTTGTCAGTCAAAGAAGAAAAAAAATTAGGCTTAACTTCCCAATTAGATTATAAGTTTTTTTTTTTGAAGTGGAGTCTCACTCTGTCACCCAGGCTGGAATGCAATGGCGCAATGGTGTGATCTACTGCAACCTCCACCTACCGGGTTCAAGCGATTTTCCTGCCTCAGCCTCCTGAGTAGCTGGGACTACAGGCGTGCACCAGCACGCTGAAGTAATTTTTGTATTTTTAGTAAAGACGAGGTTTCACCATGTTGGCCAGGCTGATCTCGAACTCCTGACCTCAGGTGATCTGCCCGGCTTGGCCTCCCAAAGTTCTGGGATTACAGGCATAAGCCACTGTGCCTGGCCCGAGTTTTGTAATTCTGTGGGTAAAATTTCATAAAGTCTATGGCAGTATTTCTTCAAATTAAGCTGACAAGTATTTTGAAGCTTTCCCACCAATGATTATATAAGATTTTCATAGGATATCTATCTTTAAATGCTAAATGTCAATCTTAAATTGACTAAAGAAAAATGAGGATATAATTAATTGATGGTTGATGATTTTTAAAATTTCAGTTAATATTTTATTCCATACTTACTGTATTAAAAGAATATGTAAAATATGGGGAATCAACCAAATGAATGAGTCAGTGGCCCAATAATATGAACATCCCTTTAAGAATGATCTGCTACTCATTAATATGTTTGAAATTTTATTCTAATTTATAATGCTTTCAGAAAAATTGGAGAATATATTGAAGCTCTTGTTGCATACTTGAGATTAAAAATAAATTGTACACTACAAAATCTACGTAATATCACAGTTGTGACAAATGTTTGCTTTTCATTCCAGCCACTTTCTACTAAGTTATTTGTTGTTACTTTTCTATTGTTTTGTTTTGTTAGAAATTAACCAATTCTCTCATTTCAAGGGAGCCAAATTTTATTCACCCCATAGCCAGCCCATTTTTTCTTCTCTTTAAAACATTTATTCATCTCATACCTATGCCAATCTTTTTTCCTTCAGAATTGAAATTTTGCCTATTTTTCAATCTGGTTTTACAAAAGCTATCACATCATGTTTGCAAGGCAATAAAGGACTCTCCACCTAATTCCTTTTATTTCCATCAATGATTTTTACATTCAAATGTTTCTCCTCTCCTTCCATCCCGCCTCTCTGTATGCTAATATTTCTAAAGCTTGCATTCTTTAAATTTGCAATCATGGAAACTTCAAAGTTGAAGTCACTGGTTGAGCATGTTACATATTGTAATAATACAAATTTGGAGGGAATATCCCCACGTTGGGTACTATAACAAAGGCTAACTCTCAGATAGTGCTCTTATTAAATAGTATACAAACCTGGCCCATAGGAACGGTCATGGTTTAGGACACCTGAGCACCTTACATTCAAAGAGGTATATGTGGCTTTCTTTAAACATCATTTGGGATGTGTTTATATTATCTATTTCTCCTTAGCAACAGCATTGTGAAAATGAAATAGTCAACGTGGGATTGACTTAAGTTTATTAAATCCATGTAGTTTTGAATTTTGATTTCTTTTTTCTGGCATGATAAATTAAGATCAGAAGTCCTATTTTGTTAATGATTCAAAATTTACATTTTGAAAATTGGAAGTAAGGTATTGTTTTGCTTTGTTTTGGGAAAAAAAAAACCAAAGATTTCTGCTTTTCACACTGCTCCTGCCTTTTGCTCCAGAGCTGCTTTGTTGGAGCGAACACTCAAGTGTCTTGGAGGAATGTGATTTTTCCTCTTCTAGAATTCACTTTGGGGGTGTGACATCAGGAAAACTCATCTTCAGTTTCTTGGTGGAGAATGTCCAAATAATTTTACTAAGCTTGTGTTTCTTTGACTTCAGGTCATAATCGGGGATTTTTCATGATGTCTTTGCCTTTCCAATATTTTTGCATCTGTAGTTTCTTTACTAATTACATTAT
This sequence comes from Homo sapiens, assembly GCF_000001405.40. NCBI lineage: Eukaryota > Metazoa > Chordata > Mammalia > Primates > Hominidae > Homo > Homo sapiens. Next base: position 84,612,220 of record NC_000005.10, on the reverse strand, counting down.
TTAGACCTAGTACCTAACAGTCACATTATGCACATTATATCTACAAATATGTACCACGTGGCATTTTACATTTAAGGATATTGAAAGTCAGAGAAGCTAACAAATTTGCCCTGCAGCGTAGAGCTAGCAATATAAAAACAAGCCTCTAAATTCACATTTAGCTGTTCCACAGAGCTATTTTTTCTCCACCTTACTACTTTTGCCTTCTAGGTTATTATTATATTTTTAATTTAAAATTTGGTATGGCTAGGAGGTAACTGGTTTTATGGATTAGTGGCTAAAGGACACTTCAGCCATATTGGTAATAATTAAGGTGATATAAGACATGCATTCATGCATTATTGTTTATTAAAAATAAATTATGTCTTTTGAAATGTTAGTTGGCCTTAGTGTTTGTGAAAAGTTAGCATTTTAGTAGCTGACTTAGAAAAATATGTTTCATCATAAAACACTGGAGGTAGAAATAAGTATATTGTGGTAAATCTTGGGTTAGTTTAGCTATAATTATCCCTGATTGTGGCAAAGCTGAAGTATAGCTTTAGTTCTTTGTAAATTGAGGTTCTGCCTTAAAAAGGAATTTTATAGAAAAGCGTTTTTTCTTTTATTGAGAAATATATATAACTAATGAACAGGATTTTTTTTTTTCTCTAGGAAAGCTATAACTTGAGATCTATGTCTTTGCAAGCTTCTCTTATATTGGTAACTCAAGACACTTAACCAAGAAATTTATGTGTTTGTCTCAGAAGTTTCTTTCTCTTATGTATAGTTGCCTGGATATTATTTCCTGAGCTCTTATGCCAATCTAGGGCCACTAATATATATATTTTTAATAATGGACTTTTGGTGTTGTTTGACATATCATAGACTCACACTCAATCACAAGATTTTTCAGGCAACAAACATTGCACTGTAGTGGTAAAATTAAATTAATGATACTTAAGTAAAGTGGAAAATTTTTGCGGCATTTAAAATCACTTAGTCCCCAGCAATCCCCAGTGTCTCAATAGCAAGGGGATTCAACAGAAAAGATCTCTCTAGAAAAGAATTTTAATGCACATTTTAGGAGCAGAAGGGGAGAGAAAGCCTGTCACTTAACAAGTTTCTGTTAGTCTCCTTATGCAAAAGTTATTAGCTCACCAGTCTATGAAATCCTTTTAGGATGAAGCAAAATACCAGATACGATAAATTTTATCATGGCAGATCAACAGGTAGTAGACAAAGCAGGCAGAGTCTGCAACTAGAAGGGGGACAAATTATGGTTTCTGAGTCTCATTAGCCTTCCCTACCCATCACTAGCACTCATGGATCTGGTGTCTTCCCTGAGACTGGAACGCACATCACAATCAGTACAGAAATTTTCGTTACAATTGGTTTATCCAAGGAAATATAAAAAGGTAGTCCAGAGCCAGAGTAAAGCATGCAAAGACAAAATCAACTATATTTCCAAGTTTGAATTATAAATAGAAATAGGAGACTATTTATTACCCTTGATATTATTCAACAAAAGCTTCTGAGGAATTCAATCCTCTGTGCAAAAAACACAGAAAGTTCTTTTCCTTAGGTATATGCCTTATCAAAACTTGAGTTTTTGTCATAAATAATAAATCACACGATGAATTTAATATGAATATATGAAAACATAGATTTACTTATCCTCTATCTAAATAAAAACACATTTGAAATTTAATGCATGGAAGATAAAGCTGAAATTTGAAATTTTTGGAATGGATTTTCATTTTTCATCCCTCTCTGTTAAATGTATCTTATAAATAATTTATTTGTAGCTCTTCTTTTAAAAATGTGACTTACCTTTAAAAAATCATGAGCTTTTGTTTGAAATATCATCACCACTGCACAGATTACTGAATCTCAGTTCATAAGCCACGATCATTCCATTTGTTCAAGGATGTAAGAAGAAGATAGCTTGATTTTGTAAAGCTAGACTGCTGAGCAGCAAAATAACTATGGTTTATCTCATGATTGTATCTAATGAACTCAGAAATTAGAGAATAAGCAAATCAGTCTATTTCTAAAAGGACAGCCTCAAAAATATTCACCACCAGACACCCTTAGAACACCATGGGAAGTCGTTCCCAACTTTATATCCTTGGGAACAAGCTCTTGTTGATTGTTCCTTGCTATTTCATATGAAGACATAATGAACTTAAAACCTGTTCATTAAGCTGTACATGTAATTCATCTCAGAGGTTAATACAGTAAGATCAAAGGCAACCAGGGAATACAATGAAATCAGAGAGTTTCAAGACCCTTGGCTTACAATTGCACAATATAGCATAGAAAATCAAAGTGATTGTTATCTGTGTTTTGGGACACATATATGTTTAATAGGAACACTTACTCCCTTTACACACCAACACATTCGCAACTGTTAGTCATCAGCTAGTCTTATTGAGCATTACCATGTTTACCTACTGATTTACTAACTAGAGAAAAAAATGATATAGTTAAAATGATTCAAACAACATTTTAGATTACTCAATTAATTTCATTAAAATGTGAGTGACATTGATTACAAATTACCTACTTGAAGTAACTAAACATCCAAAGAATAGACCAGGTAGAATCTAGAGTGAATTTTATATTTGCAGAAATAAAAGCATGCCAAAAAGTGATAAAGGTAATTGATGCCAGAATAAATGGTTGCATCTTCCAGTATCAAGAATTTTTAAAGTAAACATTATATAAAAAGAGAATATTTTTAAATAGACAAATGAACTTGAATAGATGATGGAGAAAGTGGAAAAACTGTATGGGATTTAGAGAGAAAGACCTTAAAATAGCTTGTACTTACAGGGAGCTGCTTCTGGCTATGTGTACATACCAGGTAGGAAAACTTTTCACTCTCCCTGTTATTAGGAATAGTTTGCAGGAAAATTTCTACAAGCACAAATTACTGTTCGTACAATCATACTATTTTTATTTTTGTTTTTATTTTTTGGTCTTTGTTGGCTTTTTTAAAAAAAATAATAAGCTGATAATACCAAGAGGTTTTTGTTTTTGTTTTTGTTTTCTTTTTTTACTTTGAGATGTATGGGTTTTTGCACATTTCCAAGCTCTTGAAGTGAGAAGTTAGGAAGCATGGATTTCTGGAGAGATAACAATATAATCATATGAGTTTAAGTGAATGAGTACTAGGTTTTCAGCAGCAGCAAGGGCAATTCATGGGTTCGAGATGCAGGCGCAGAAAAAAAGTAATCCCACCAGCTGTAAACTCAGCTTCTCATTTAAACAGATTGCCTGTACTGAGTTGGTCTTTACTCCTGCTACATACATTTATTCATACAATTTGAGAAAGAAAGGAGGTGTGTTTGTGGTCTTAACCCTGGTAATAATTTTCCCATCTTTTAGTTACTTATTTTTGAGATAAAAAAGGATGCTCACTCATTATATGAGGTATTTAGAGAAAAATGGAAAGTCAGTGTGCTGTCATAAGCAGCACACACTTGGTTGAAATAATAGCTACTGGCACTCTCTAGCTGTGTGAGCTTGGGCAAGTTATTGAATCCTTCTGAGATTAACCTATATGTGTTTAATAAATAATATAATCTATATGTATGTAATAAAAATCTATATTTCATCTCATCTATATGTGTGTAATAACCAACTTACAGGTTTTTAAGTATGAAATTAGATAGTATAAGAAAAAATGCTTAGCTTGAGTTATGACAGGAGTTTAGGGGGTTAAGGAGTGGCTGCTGTCATTAATAATACTTATATTTTTAAGTACATGGATTATTGTCATATCCATTACATCATATTAATAACTGTGATGGTTAATTTTTAGCATCCACTTGACTGGGTTAAGGGATAGTCAGTCAGCTAGCTGGTAAACCATTATTTCTGGGCAGGTCTATGAGGGTGTTTCCAGAAGAGATTAGCATCTACCCTCACCAGCGTGGGCAAGCACCATATAATTGGTTGAGGGAAGGAATAGAACAGGTAGAGGAAAGAAGAATCTCTCACTTTCCTGGAGCTGAGATCTCTATATTCTCCTGCCCTTGTACATCAGAACTCCAGGTTCTTAAACTCTGGACTCCAGAACATGCATCAGCAGCCCCTCAGGTTTTTGGGTCTTCGGCTTCTGACTGAGAGTTACACCACCGTCTCTATTGATTCTTAGGCCTTTGAACTCTTACTCAATTATACCACTGGCTTCCCTGATTCCCCAGCTTGCAGATGGCATATTAGCATATCATAGGACTTTTCAGACAGCATAATCATGTGAATCAATTCCCAGAATAAATCCCCTATCCCCTCTTTTGTGCACTTTATATATACATATATATATATATATACACACGTATATATATATTTTATATATATACACACGTATATATATTTTATATATATACACACGTATATATATTTTATATATATACACACGTATATATATTTTATATATATATACACGTATATATATATTATATATATATATATTTATATATATCTCCTATTGATTCTGTTTCCCTGGAAAACACCCTAACACAATAACTTTGTCTACAATTCCATTTTAGAACATGACTCTAACTCATTTTTCCTCAATATGGATTATTTAATCAAAAGCAAGATAATATTATAGTATTCAAGAAGGCAGGATCATATATTAAAAGTAGCAATGTAGTAGGGCTTAAGAACACTAATTGTACTCATTCAAACTGAAACTACCAATGCAATCTTTTAGTTTAGCTTGTAAATTTAATTAATAGGCTTTTTTTTTAGTTTAAAGTTTACAGAAAAATGAGCAGAAAATACAAGGTTCCCATAAAACATTATCTTCCCTCAGTTTTCTCCATTATTAACATCTTAAATTAAAGTGGTAGTTTTTTTAATAATTCATAAGCCAGTATTGACACATCATTAACTAAAGTTTATGGTTTACATTAGAGTTCACTCTTTGTGTTATACATTCTATGGATTTTGAGAAATTTGTAAAGAAATATATGCACCATTACAGTGTAATACAGCATATAGTCATTCACTTCTCAAAAACTGCCTATGTTCCACCTTTTCTTCCCTTTCTCCTTCTCCACAAACTCCTGGCAACTGCTGTTGTTTTTTACTGTCTCCAAAGTTTCGCCATTTTCATTGCTGAATATTTTATTCTATAAATTTACCATAGTTTATTCATTCATTCACTTACTCAACAACTTTTGGTCGCCTCCAAGTTTTGGCAATAAAGGTAATGTAAACATTCGTGTGCAGGTTTTTACATAGACAAACGTTTTCAACTCATCTGGGTAAATATCAAGGATTATAATTTCTAGATCATATGACAAGAGTATGAATAGTTTTGTAAGAAATTGAAATACTTACTTCCAAAATGCCTGGACCATTTTGCATTCCCACAAGCAATGAATGAAAGTTCTTGTTGGTACCCGTCCCAGCTAGTGTTTAGTGTTTTCAGTGTTTTGAATTTTGGTCATTCTAATAGGTGTGTTGTAGTATCTCATTGCTGTTATAATTTACAACTTCATAATGACATATGATGTTGAGCATCTTGTTATATGCTTATTTGTCAAATGCATACCCTTTTTCCCATGCAAACTTGAGGAAGCCAATGACCTTCTCTGGATCATGAAATAGTAGAGCAAGTAAAGTAGGTCCTATATCGCAGAAGTGTGATGCCGAGACACTCATGAAGGAAATAATGGATGTCTAAAGCTATGTTTCAAGATGAAAGGGAAATTGTAAATGTTTACATGATTGAGATTGTTAAACTGAGAAGGGGGAAAATTGATTATGATTTATAATTGCAATTTATTTGTTAGATCAATTCTTTCAAAACATGGGGCCTGATGTTCTTTTTTGTTTTTTTGTTTGTTTGTTTGTTTTTGAGACAGAGTCTCGCTCTGTCACCCAGGCTGGAGTGCACTGGTGCCATTTCAGCTCACTGCAACTTCTGCCTCCCAGGTTCAAGCAATCCTCCTGACTCAGCCTCCTGAATAGCTGGAATTACAGGCACCCGCCACCATGCCCAGCTAATTTTTGTATTTTTAGTGGAGACGGGGTTTCACCATGTTGGTCAGGCTGGTCTCAAACTTCTCAAACTCCTGACCTCAAGTAATCTGCCTGCCTTGGCCTCACAAAGTGCTCAAATTACAGGCATGAGCCACTGCGCCCAGCCCTAATGTTCTTTTTTTTTTTTTTTTTTTTTTTTTTTTTCTAAGACAGAGTTTAGCTCTTGGCATGATCTCGGCTCACTGCATCCTCCGCCTCCCGGGTTTAAGCAGTTCTCTGCCTCAGCCTCCAGAGTAGCTGGGATTACAGGTGCCCACCACCATGCCCGGCTAATTTTTTTTTTTTTTGTATTTTTAGTGGAGACAGGGTTTCACCATATTGGCCAGGCTGGTCTCGATCTCCTGACCTCGTGATCCACCAGCCTCGGCCTCCCAAAGTGTCGGGATTACAGGCGTGAGCTACCGCGCCCAGCCCCGATGGTCTTTATATTATAACTTGCTGTCTCTCTGTTATGAGCAAACTTCTCTTGCTCATTTGCATAATTGAATGCTTCAACTCTGATTTATCTTCTCTATTTTTTTTTCATAAATAGCCATATTAGAATCTTATATTCTATTGTTTCTTCTCATAGTCTCAAAATTCATGGCCACTGAGTATTTATATTATGACAATACAGTTTGCCTTTCTGTATTACAAGATGGAAGATAAACATTTTCACTTCCTATAGTAAAAATAGCCTACACTGAGACAGCTGATGATGCTCCCACATTCTGGGGAAATATTTCACTGACATACTCTGTCATCTGGATTATTGCAAATGACACTGACGCGATTGGTCTGGCAAGTTTTCAGACACATTTCTGACAAAGCCAATCACGTGAATATGTCAAATCCATTCTACCACTGTTTAACTTAGATCCCAACCCTAAAATATATTTCTACCACTAGGATTTCATAGCATGCACAAACACAGTGTATGAAGATTCTGAATAAAGATTCCTGAATCTGTTAAGAAAGCCACCTCACAATAATGTGCCTTTACTCACAGATGAACTTTTTGAACTTACCTTACCACCTTCTGCCAACTATTAGAAAAATTGTTCTTTAGTATATTTATTACCCAATTCACTTTTTCTGTTTCAGTTTCATTTCCACTTCTGTTTCAGAATATTGATGTTTGGTCCATTTCAGGAATGTTTTCTGGATTCTACATCCTGTTTTACCATCATTGAGGTTATATCAGCTCCCAGTATATTCTTACACAGGGCAATGTAGAGATGGAAGTTGTTGACATGATAAAAGTGTGTTCATTGTGGTAAACAGTACCTTTAGGAGTCTGGAAAAGGAACATATAACAACTGATTTATATTTTCATCTACAACATATGTCAATTAAAGATACATGATACAGCTGCATAAGTGGAGAAAATTAAACTTGACAGAATTAAGTTTGAAGTACAGGAAATCAAAGAACTGAACAATAAAACAAGAGGCCTGCAAAGCTGTTGAAATAAATAAACTTAAGGATCTATTTTTTTTTTAAGTGAGATGATGAAATTTTAATTCACAAGTCACAAATCAAGGAAATCATTAGACTCACTTAAATTCCAAAGTGGATATAAGGTAGGTTTCCCTCATACTTATGTGTCTATACGCTGTAACCTAACTTTAACTACATATCCTTAGAAAATATGCTTTTTGGGTTTTTATATTTAGTGTGTATTTTTTTCCTTAAAATAGAATAACTCTTCTCTTTTTTCTCTGAAAGCCCTCCCTGAATTTCCTTCTACTTAATTCATATTTTTTTATTCTTCCATAGTAGCATATTCTGACATCTATTAGAATATTTATCAGAGTATCCCTGAGGGTGTAGGTCTTTCTCCCTTATTTGGCTATAAACTCCTCAAGAGCCAGTCCATGTCCTATCTAAATTGACTTCCAATCTCTCCTCTACCACCTAGTGCAAGCTCTGGCATAAAACATTCCTCCAATAATTTATTTCCATTAACTCCATAAGGAGGGACAATTGTGAACCTTTACCTTCCACAGAGAAGGCCTATAAAAATGTGTATTATAATTACCTGTCATGTATAAACACGAAGAGTGACAAATGAGTAGAGTCTGAAGTTTGTGGCACTATATCTTTTACTTCTTGTCCTTGGCCTCCACAAAAATCCCACAAGTGTTATGTAATATACAGTGGAACCATTTAAAAAACATCCATGGTATAATTTCCAACCACAGCCTTCAACTTGAGGCAACGTGCCCAGGGCCTGGTTTGAATTAACAATGAGTCAACTCAGTACTTACAACTAAAGAACACATTTTCAGGTTCTTAGCAGAAAGAGTTCTTAGAAATTTTAATTCCTTACTAAGGGAAAAAGGGAAAACATAATTTAAATAGTCTTAGAAGTTGAGATGAATAAAGTATTCATTATCCTTCTCATTCTCTAACAAGGTATCAGTGAGTGCCATATCCTGTTTTGGAAATGCTAAATTCTTCTAGTGACTTAGCATAAGGGAATGAAGACAGTTTAAATAACATGTCTTGTTTAAAAAACAATGTTGTTAATTTGATACTTTTTAAAACCAGTATTCACTAATATGTCAGTAGGGACTTCTTGTAAGAAAGTTCAAGTAGATGCTGGTAAATAAGTTACGGGAATCCAAGTAAAAATCACTATAGAAAGTTTCCAACATTTCTCCTTGCAGCTTCCAAAGGAGATTTAGATAGTCTGATCAATCAATCAGTTATGGACATGCCCCAAGTTTTACTGGAAATAAATATTTTGCAAACATGTTCTATATTTTTCTTTATTCTCAAAGCTTACATTATCTGAAGTGCTGTATACTAAATACAGATGATAACCTAAAACAATGCTTTTGATCACTGAACTGTTTTTTGTTTAGCATTATACTCTGTGTATTCTCTAGAAGATAATCAGACACATTAACAATGAAATATTTCCTTATCTTTTTCTATATATCATCTGAGTTAAAATATATCAATTCTTAGAGCTTTGTTAATAAATTTGGGTCTTACAAATGGCTTCTAATTCCTGCAAAGCTGTTAATGAGAGAAATGACAACAATCCCTTGGACCAATAATTAGGCGAGATGAAAATATTTACAACTACAGTTTGTCTACTTAAGAAACTGCCACTATACCTATCAGAAGAATCAAGTGCTGGCTGACATTTTCTGCGTGCAAACTGACTCCAGAGAAGGGCTAAAACAATCACTCTCCTCCCAGCCTCCTAGGTATGTTAAAAGGACCAGTAAAAAAGGAGGAAGAGAAGAAAGGTACAAAACAATTAATATGCTTTGCCACCTAAACCACAGCTTCTTTTGCGATTGAGACTTTCGTTTTTATTTTATTAGTATATCTTTTGGAGGGCAGCAGGAATACCTGATGCTCACTGGAATCATATGACTATCCAAACATGACATATAACAGAAGAAAGAGAGCTGTAGGCTGATTCATTAGGGCAATATCAAATGACTGCCCTAGTCATCTATTATTGGGCAACAGACTCTCCCAAAATTCAGTGGCTTAAAACAATGGTAACCACTTATTTTTCTCATGAAATCTGCAAGTAAATAGGTCTCAGTGGGGAAGGCTGGTCTCTGTTCCATTCAGCATTAATTGGCATTGCTTAACTGAAAACTGAAGAATCTACTTTCAAGATGATTCATTAACATGGTTGGCGAGTTTTTGCAAGATGTGGCTGTGAACCTAGCTTGGACTGAGTGATGAAGGTCTTGCTTCTTCTTATGTGAGCCTCTCTATGTGTCCTGCACTTCTTCACAACTTGGTGTCTGAGATTCAAGATCAAGCATCCTAAGAGAGAGTCAGCAGAAGCTCTATCACTTTCTATGTCCTAGACTCAGAAGTCTCAGTAGTCACTTCCGTCCAACTTCATTAGTTGAGGAATAGAAAGCGTCTTTCAGTTTCAAGAAGCAAAAAGAGGGGCAATAGAATTTACCTTTTCATGAAGGAATAATAATGTTCTGGAAGAACAAGTGGGGTGGGAAATATTGTTAAAGCCAGTTCTGAAAAATGAAATCTTTCACAGAACCACTAGGAGTGATATAAGAAATTCGTTACAGAGATTCGAATTAAAGTAATTACGAGAGCCAGTGAAGAAGTCAATGTAAAGTCTGAGTCCCTAGTTTAGTGGTGGGCCTGAAGTCTGGAAAGGAGGACGGAATATTGGAATTTTGAGAAGGAATTAGAACTCACCTCAGTTTCTCTCCAGAGTTTGCATCAGTCTCTCAGTGCCTCCAGTCCTCCGCATTTGACGGTGCAGGTGAAATGCAGAAGAGGTGACACAGTTGGCCAGAGACCTGTACACAAACTGGTCCAGGACTTGGCAATACTGAAAAAGGAGGGATACTCAGTGCGAATTGCAGGAGTTAATGACCCCGCTGCTACCTTTCTGCAACAAACTGCGCCAGCAGATCCCTTACAACCTGCCTGAACTGCACTGACCTAAGTGTGAACATGGCGGCTGCTTCACTTCTGCATGTCTCTCACAACCTTTTTCTTGTGGCAAGCAGAGCACTAACCCAAAACCATCCAGGGAAGAGAAGTGTGATTACAGCTTAGCTGTATAAACACTATATATATATATATATATATATATAAAATATATATATATATATATTTATATATATTATATATAAATATATATATGATATATATTAAAAATATATATATATGGCTGATATTGTAGATTAAAATATGGCCAATTTTCATGAATGTGTTATGTGCATTTGAAAGTAGGCTGTATTATCTATTTTTAGGATTAGTTATATATTTTAGGATTAGTTATATGTTTTTAAGATTAATTATATTATATAAATTATATATATATAACATCAATGATTATGTTTTTAGACCTTCTACAAGCTTACTAATGTTTGCTCAAGTTGCTTAGTCTTGGATTCAGAAAGTTTATCCTGTCATTAGTGTGTTTCTGTTGCATAGTTTATGTGTCCTGTTTTAAGAAAATTAACGGTTTGTTATTGAGTATTTAAGTATTAATAAATCAATTTTCATTGTGAATGTAGCCTTTAGGACTATACCATGTCCTTTTTTGTTTCTTTTCCTTTTTTTTTTTTTTTTTGAGACAGAGTCTCGCTCTGTCACCCAGGCTGGAGTGCAGTGGCGCGATCTCGGCTCACTGCAAGCTCTGCCTCCCGGGTTCACGCCATTCTCCCGCCTCAGCCTCCCGAGTAGCTGGGACTACAGGCGCCCGCCACCAAGCCCGGCTAATTTTTTTGTATTTTTAGTAGAGACGGGGTTTCTCCGTGTTGGCCAGGTTGATCTCGATCTCCTGACCTCATGATCCGCCTGCCTGGGCCTCCCAAACTGCTGGGATTACAGGCGTGAGCCACTGCGCCCGGCCTTTTGTTTCTTTTAATACTTTTGATACAGACAGGAGTCAGGGAAATACTGGGGAGAAGAGGGCAGTCCCCAATGAGGGCCATCTTCTCAAGCTGGAACTACAGCCCAAAATGAGAACATGCATTCCTGTTTGCCTGCCAAAATGCTTTTTTTTTTTTTTTCCAAACCACCCTGGCCCACCCTGCTCCCCATCCTGTACCCATAAAAACCCGAGGCCCCACTGGTGGTGTGGCAGAACAGCAGGGAAGGAGAGAAGAGAAGAAGCAGCCCGACACTGGAAAGAAGCAGCTTGATTTCAGAGGGACGGCTTTATAGTAGAACCTCGAAGAAGAGTTCAGCCAGGATGGCCAAACTGCAGGGGAAGACTACCTTCCCACTCCATCCCATTTCCAGCTCTTCATTCAGCTGAGAGCGACTTCCACTGCTCAGTAAAATCCTCCATATTCACCACCCTTTGATTCATTTGCACAACCTGATTCTTCCTGGAAGCAAAGACCCAGGTGTGTGTGCAAGAGGCTGTCACACTGACTCTCTCCTAAGTTGTTTAACTCTTTAGCCATCCAGGGATGGCAAAGCTAAAAGAGCACACTGTAACAAATGACCTCTGGGGCTCTGGGGTTCACGGGCCACCCTTAGATGCTACCACAGGCCCGCATATAGTTCTGTTCCTGCCTGCCCAGAAGCACTTGTACTGGCCTGTGCACTGGCTCACCTGTGTGCTCCCCCTCCTGCAAGGGATTGAGAGCTGCGAGCTGAGTAAACCAACAAACTCCTTCTCAAGTCTCACAAAGGGCTCAAAGGAACTATCACATTTCACTTTTTACCTGATTTTTGTTTTAATCAGATATTAATATTGTGACTTCTTCTCCCTTTGCTTGAATTTCTCTTGTAGATTTCTTTATCTTTTTAATTCTTAACTGTCTGTATGTATTTAAGTGAGCCTTGTACTAATAGCGGAATGTTGAATTAGTTTTGTTAGTCAATCATCATTCCACAGATACTTTTATTTTATTGAGTTAATCCAATTTACATCATTATATTTGATCAGTTATGTCATATTATTTTGTCTCTCTGTTTCAGAGGAATGAATGTATTTTGTCTTTTAGGGAGTGTTTTATGTTTTCAAAATTTTAATTTTAGACTAAAAAATTAATATAATAATTTGACACTCTCTCTTATCCCTATTTTTTTATGGTTTCCTATTGTGAGCTAGTATATATAAGTGAGCGTGTAACCTTTTCTTTCCAAAACACTCTGTCACCCCAGGATCTGAGTTGAAGTAAGGCTGTTGCCTAACCCAGTTAATACTCATACACGGTCCTGCTTCTTCCTACACTTTTAACAAATTTAGCATATACACATTGGCAGAGCATAGAGCACTGCATTACTAAGTTATCTATTTTACTCCAGTAAATAGGTAAAAATATATTTAAAGCTTATCATTTCTTTCTGATGTCAATGTCTTCATTTTATGTTTGCCTTAAGTTTGTAGATTTTTCAGTAAGTGATTATGAGAATATCTTGGCACATTCAAGTCAGTTTATTGGAAGCCTATGTATTTAAAATTCATTTTGACTAGATATAAAAATTTATGGCTCATATTTTCTTCTATTAAATGTCTTACATACGTTATTTCAATTTCTTCTAGAATAAAATGTTCCTGTGAAAACTATAAAGACAATCTGAATTTCTTTTCTTTATAAATGACTTGCTCTTTATGCCTGAATTCCCAAAAGATTTTTTTCCTTTTTCTTTACAATGTTGTAGATTGACAAGTTTGACAGTATAATGTCTTGCCTTTCTCAGTTGATTTTAGCAATGTCCTTTGAGTATGTAGCATGAAGTTATCTTTTACGTTAAGAAATTTTTCTTTACGTATGCTTATTTTTTGCTTTGTTTCATAGGAATTTTTTTCTTTTTTGTTATTCAGGAGCTCTTTCTCTCCATCCTGAAGAAAAAAAAGGAGGAGTTATATATGTGTGTATACCTCCTGTGTATCATATTTTATTCTAAATTTTTGTGTCTTTTTTATTTGTAAAATTTTCACACTTTCAATCTTACATTTTTTCTAATATCACTCATTTTTACCATGATGTTCCTTTCTATTTCATTTCCATTTCTGAATTTTATTTTATTTTCTGAGTGTATCTTCTTTCATCAAATCTTCATCTCAAATCATTTTATTTCTGAATTGATTTGTGTTGTTCTTTCATAGCATCTATCATTTTAAAATGAGTTTTTGATCATTTTGAGATACTAGGTGACTGTATTCATCTGTTCTGTGAGCAAGTCACTCTATAGCACTTTACTGCTCATTGGGATGTTACTCTGCTTCTTATGCTTTTTTTTAAATCATAAATTAAGGATAAAATTTGACTAAAACTTTTTTGTTGTTTTTTATTATGTGAAATTAATTTTTCTATGCTTTTAGGGTGTTTGAGTGGCCTAGGAAAACTTTAGGTTTTTTTTGGAAGTAATGTGATTTTTTTTTAATCTCTATAGATCACTCTTCTGTTGTTTTGGCAAATTGATCAAAAATGTTTATATAATTTCCTTAGTCTGATTTTCTACTTTTGTCTGAATCTTCTCTTTCCCTATTTCCTTTTGTTATTCATTTTAAATTCAACTCCCAGCAGTTTCTCCTTAGCATGGGGCTTTGTCTTGTTAGTTTCACTAAGCCACAGGATTCCACTGCTCCATCGCTGTTAAACTTTGTCACATCACTGCCTTTTTGCATTTCCTGTGAATTGCTGGGAATGAATTCACTTGTTCTTCTCCTCAGATCTGCCCCCAAATCTTTTCAGTGTGTATCTGGGGAACATTTCTCCAAGCTATCAGAATTTCTGTTTCTTTCTTCAACTTCTTCCCATTGAGAGGCCAACAATTTACAGGCCAAGTAAACGTAGGCATTTTTGCCAACTTACTGGTATATGAAATCCACAGGGATGCCTTATTACCTATTTTTTCTGTGAATATCGTTCGTGTCATTGGCTTAGACTTACTAGTTGTTTTGCCTGCCTTTATACAGAGATGAGATAGATTTGATTATGTTCCTGTCACCACCATCTTTCAAAAATCCACACTTTTAAAATGGAAATTTCAACAGATGAATGGATAAAGAAAATGTGGTATATATACACACAAAAGGAATACTATTCAGCCATGAAAACAAAGGAAATTCTGTAATATGTGATAATATGGGTGAATCTAAAGGACACACTGTTAAGTGAAGTAAGTTAGGCACAGAAAAACAAATACAGTATGTTCTCAATCAAATGTGGAGTCTAAGAAAGTTGATCTCATAGAAATAGAGAGTAGAATGGTGGTTACCAGAGACTAGGGTGATAGAAGCATGGAGCATTAGGGAGATGTCGATCAAAGGATGCATATTTATAGCCAGATAGGATGCATAAGTGCAAGAGATCTACTGTACAGCATAGTGACTATAGCTTATGACAATATGTTCTATTCTTGAAAAATGCTAAGAGAGTGGATAAGCATTTGCACCACAAAAATAATAACTATGTGAAGTAATGCATTTGTTAATTAGCTGAATTTAGCCATTTCATGATATACAGATATATATATATCAAAACATCGTGTTGTACACAATACATACCATTTTATATAAGAATCTAAAAAGAAATACTTTTCAAAAAATGCAAATTTGATCATGTTGCCTTAGATTTAAATTTTTTTCCTTTCCCTTAGGAACAATATTAATGATTATATGCTTCAAAGTATTAATGTTAATGTAGTATACATAATTAGTTAAATCATGAAACCACTAATCATAGTAAGGGTAACAGGAGTTCTTGAAAAAATAGTCTTTGAAGTGACTACAGGACATCGAGATAGATGTTCTGGCAGAAGAACATACTGTTTTGTTTCATGCTCTATTCCAAGTTCTTAAAAAAATGATTGGAAAGTAGTACGTATAAAATAAATCCAGCTGAATAAGTTGAAAACATAAATGATTTAATTAGCCACAAAATATGAGTCTGAAGCTTCATAAAAAGTTTAAAGAAAGTAATGTTTATTAGGGAATAATTTGTATGTATATCCTTAAGGTAAATAAATGTTATTTGAAGACACTAGGGAAGATAGAATTTTTCCCCTGGAATATTTGTAAGTTTGTGCGAATACAGACAAAGGCTGGTACAGAAATCTAAGAAACACTGTCATGGATCCTCTTCAGGTGTTAATGGCGGATCACCTGAGATCGGGAGTTCAAGACCAGCCTGACCAGGAGAAACCCCGTCTCTACTAAAAATACGAAATTAGCCAGGCGTGGTGTTGCAAGCCTGTAATCCCAGCTACTTGGGAAGCTGAGGCAGGAGAATCGTTTGAACCCAGGAGGCAGAGGTTGCGGTGAGCCGAGATCATGCTGTTGCACTCCAGCCTGGGCAACAAGAGTGAAACTCCGTTTCAAAAAAAAAAAAAAAGGAAAGAAAAAAGTTAATTTTCTGGGTCAAATTTTCAACCAGTAGCCTTTTGGTTGAAAGTTTCAAGTGTGATTGTAAATTTCTGTTTTCCTTTGGTTTTATGATATAAGAACCTTTTGTTCCAACAAAAACATTTCTAGAAGCTCGACATATAAATCAGATAACAGGGAAATGGGTTCACGTGCAGAATAATAGAGAGGAGCTTATTGTCATTGTCCCTGATGAGCCTCTGCTCCCCAGCTCTACCCACCTGCACTCTGCACAGTTCCAATCCCAGAGACTAAACCTGGAAGAGTAAAACAATTAGCAAGCACTACTCTTAGTTATTGCAACTATATAGGCCTGCTTAATATAGGCTTTCCACCCACTCACCTCAGAGGAAAAAAAAAAGTAATCTCTTGATAATAGAATGCTGCCTTTTTAAATTTAGTGACAACTATTTATTTTTACTTTTCACAAAATATTTAGATGTCAACAGGAGAAAAAATATATAGATTCTAATTAGAAGAAACTAAGAGTCATGATTCATGATAATTAAAATTAATTTTTTAATAATTTTAATCATACAATAATAGGAGGTTTGGAAATCAACTTAATTAAATTTTCAAATAAAATTCTGTAGCAAGATCAGGTGAGAATATTCTGCAAGTTCTATGAAAGACATTAATACATAAAAACTTAAATATATATAAAAACACTGTTATTAAAGAAATTTTACAGAGACTGGTAATAAGGAAATAACTGTTTAAAAGAATTTGTTTTGTAACTCATCTTCAAATATTCTCTTTTTTGTCATTTATAAAGCTTTTTATAAGAAATATAAGATTATATGCACAAAAGGTTAAATAAAGACAGAAAATCCTTTCCTCTGGTCAAAAATTGACATCTGCTGTACTCTGATTTTCCAAGAATTAGGTTAAACATGAAAGTGCCATGTTATAAAAATGTATATCTTTTATATTGAGCCATATAATTTTTAAAAGACAAAAGAATTTCAACATTTATAAAGTTCTGTTGGGAGCGATCTGGAAGAAAATCCAAAGTTCTTTGAGATAATACTACTTTTACCTCAATACTCAGAGTATGATTAGGATTTTTAGCTGATGTTTTTAACATCAGATGCGGTCCTGACATGTCTAAATTAGCCAGGCTTTAAGTTTATTAATGAGTCTATGCCATGCATTCTCAAAACTGCCCCAGTGGGAGCAACAACTGATTCTTGGTGATGAGGTTCAGGGGGAACAAAAAAACGTAATTATTTTATATAGAGAGCATGCATATATATATATATATGCATTACAAAAATAGATACAGTCTGTAATATTAAATTTCCTTAGTAGAATTTTTTTTTAATGTCTAATAAGACTGCTTAGGATGTAACAATGAAAAGGATGAGAAATATTGGAATACACTAAAATCTCATCCTCTTACTAAGCATCCTTCACCAAATGAAATTAGTTCTTCAAAGATGCATACATAGAAAAGAAAACTAGGAAAATATAACAATGCAATCAATAGCCTGGCATGATCTTGCGTTCGTGATAGTTTTTAAGATAGTTGCATCCTTTTTAATTTATGAATTGATGAGCAGCTGTAAAATATTTTGGCATGATCATGAAGATTACATACTGAAAGAAAAGGCTATGTACAAAGAATTAAAATATAAATACAAAATCACAATTGCATTTGTTAATAAAAATATTTTCATGTGGATCTATTTATACTTGTCACTAAACTACTATACAAACATCTATAACTTTCTTTTATACACAGATAGTTTATTTGCAGATAACATAAAATAAAATTATTTATTTACTTGCCCAATTATTTTGGAAGTAAATGGTTTAATTCAGCAAAGTATTTTAAAAGTTTTTTTTTTAGACTGTCGGTTTGACTAGGTCAAACTGTGCCTTTTTCAAATTAGCCATGTCATGAAGACACAGCCATGATTTTGCCTGTCAACCTGTATAAGCAAAGAGAAGATTTAACAATCAATAATCTATCAGAAAATTACATTTGTATTGAATATTTAAGCACCAGAGAAGATGCATATATGTGAAAGAGCAAGAAGACAATTTATAATTAAACAAGTTTCTAGTAATATTTTCAGTTTCAGAAAACAGAAAGAATAAAATACCTTTGGGCAAACAGAAAAAGGTCTTAAGAGGCCAAAGAAAAGTGAAAATTAAAGGAAATTTAAAATTGAAGAAAAATTTAAAATAACACTTTTACAGTGCAGCTTAGAATGTTAAATATGAATCCCCAATTTATAAAATAGACTCAACTGGATTAAGTATAATGGTCTGCATCTAATAAGTGATAGTATTGGTAGTTGCAGCCTTTGAACCTAAGCCCTTCTAATAACTAAGTTATTTTGCCCCCATTGTTGTCACACCTCTCTAGTATATGGTACTTAACTATATGAAATATGCAACTTTCTCAGTAAAACACAGAACACCTTGCTGCAAACCAATTTGTAACAGAGAAGGGGAAATTTCTCAGGAGGAAATAGCATGTGCAGAACAGACTAAACATAGTTTGGGCACTGGGGAACATAATACAGAGATCTTTCTACCTGAGAAGGTTCATGTTAGGGAATAGTAAGAGTTAAGTTTGATACAGAGGTTTGCTATGTGCTCATTTTTTGTTTGTTTGTTTTGTGAGACCAAGTTTTGCTCTGTTGTCCAGGCTGGAGTGCAATGGCGCAATCTCGGCTCACTGCAACCTTCGGCTCCGGGGTTCAAGCGATTCTTCTGTCTCAGCCTCCCGAGTAACTGGGATTACAGGTGCCCACCACCATGCCCGGCTAATTTTTTTGCATTTTTAGTACAGATGGGGTTTCACCATGTTGCCCAGACGGGTCTCAAACTCCTGACCTCAGGTAATCCACCTGACTTGGCCTCCCAAAATGCTGGAATTACAGGTATTAGCCACTGTGCCCGGACTGGTATGTGCTAATTTTTATAAATAATTTGCTTTTTTGATAAATACATCAGGAAAATATTATTTTGTTTTTGGCCCTCCAGCAAGGTTTTATACTAGTTTTGAGCTTCATAGTTTTAAAGTATTCCAGAAGTATCTAAAACTATAAACAATATTGGTGTGTAATAAGCAACCTTCCAAATTTTCCTTTCTAAATGATGCAAAATAACTCAAAAATATAGTTGGCTATATAAAAATATTTATTTTATTGCATGACAAAAAATATACCATAACCAAAATCAAAACACATTGACAAACAAGGAGAAAAATATTTGCAACATATACCATAAGAGCTGAATATCCCCAATTTTTAAAGTACTCTCAAAAACTGAGAGGCAAAGTACCAAAGATCCAGTAGGAAAATAGGAAAAATTCATGAGCAAATAACTCACAGATGAGACATGCTTTACTCACCTCTCCCTGTAAACCTTTCTAAAACTTTCTACAATCCATAAATTCACCAAAAATCCTTGTAGAGGCACTCTACCCAGCATAAAATGTAACTCTCAAGGATATTTAGTATTATACAGATTTGTGTCCTTCAACCCTAAATTGTACTTTAAAATTGAGCCATAGCAAAGAATACTTCCTGATTTTAAAATATTACTTTAAAAATTAAGCTTATAAAATTGAATCAGCTGTCACTGAAGTACTTGAATAAAACATTTCTTCCTTGAATCACTTTGTGCTCTTTTTTATATAAGTACTACTTAATCATCTATTAAAAACTGAAAAAATTATCATTATTTACTTTTCCAAATCTAGCAAAAACTTGATATTTCCTCAAATGTTCTCATCGCTTTAGACTCTCCTGAGTACCCTAATCATATGCCTTTTTTAAAAAAAATTTCTAGAAAAGGCCTGCATTGATCCAATAATCCCAATTGTTTCAGGCAGAAATGCCCATGAGCACAATATAGTTTAGTCCTCTCAGCAGACCTGAACCAGGTGTGGGGATGTTATCCAAGCTGTGGCAAGAAGTCATTTCAGATGAATTTGAACTTAGTACTCAGAAAATCAATTAGTCTCTCTCGGAGGCTCTGAACTGTAGTGTGGAACAATAGCAACAAAGCAGAGCCTCTCAAATCAAAGGACTAAATTTGAATTCTTTCTTTATCACTTAATGGATGTACAATCAAAGGCTAGTTATTAATCTATGTGCCTCAGTTTCCACATGTAAATTGACTATAACGGAAGTACTCACCTTATTGGGCTCCTGTGAGGATTATACAGGATAAAATATATATTGAGTACCTGACAGTGAATACTTAATAACTGATGGTTGTGGTGGTTGTTACAATTTTTGTTTTATTGTTACTTAGGAATGCTATAGATAAAAAATTAGAGGACACTGACCTGCATTTAGAGAAAATGACTCAAGAAATAGACTAATGGCACTGGAGTCCTTGACTTCAATTGTCTTTAATGTCTAGTGAATTCCCATGAGCCACTGCACTCATCTCTTTGTATTTATTTATATATATTTTTTGAGACAGGGTCTTGCTCTGTTGCTCAGGCTGGAGTGCAATGGCCCTGTCATGGCTCACTGCAGCCTCAACATCCTGGGCTCGAGCAATCCGTCTAACTCAGCCTCCAGAGTAGCTGGGACTACAGAGGTGCACCACCAAGCCCAGCTATTTTTTTTTTTTTCAGTAGAGATAGGGGTCTCATTATGTTGTCCAGGCTAGTCTTGTACTCCTGGGCTCAAGCAATCTTTCTGCCCTGGCTTCCCAAAGTGCTGGGATTATAGGTATAAGCCACTGCATCTGGCCTATCTCATAATAAAATCTCTTAGTGTTTACTTTTATTTGAGATATACCTATATTCACACAGAAAAGCCGTACCTAGTATCAAAATCCTCCATATGCCCAGATTGTTTATCTACTTTATTAATTCATCTAAGACTTCTTAGAAGATTTTATCATATTTAGATATGATTAAACTAAAACTATTTGGAAGAGTTGGTCACAGTCTTCTTTTCTGTCCCCTTTAACAGTAAACAGACATTGTATATGTAGACACCAGAGTCACTTATTATTCTATGCATCCAACTTCAAATTTCATTAACCCTGTCTCAATGAAGCAGCTAATGAACAAACACATGTGATGGTGCGAAATCATTTGGCAGCCTATGTAATTTTAATAAAAACATCATTTTAAACCTTTACCATCTGTCCTTTGCTCTAATTATAGCTGCAAGATGAGTAAAATTTTGAACTGCGTCACAGAATAAGGCACAAGTGATTAAATGTTTTGCATGTTTAATCAATGGTTATAATCCAATATAATTTATTCATTTTTTAAGAAGTAGAAAGCAAGCGCCTATGAATGGGAAATGTCTTGAATTTCTCACCAAATAGAAAATAAACATTATAAACCATTCAAATAATAGAATACTAGTAAGTGATTAATAATGATGCAACATACATAAATTTTTTTAAAAATTAATCAAAATAAGTTTAAAGTAAAAACTCTTGTGACTAAATGACTCATGTATTAAAGTATGTATGTGTGTATATGCATGTGTACATATATTATAAAGTATGCGTGTGCATATATACATACTTAAGTACAGTTTTACGTGTGTGTATATTTATGTAAACACATACACTCCCAACCCTCAAAAACTATGTGAGATAAATGTGTGTTGTTTTAAGCTACTAAGTTATTGGCAGACTTGTTGAGCAAAATGGACAAGTAATACAAATGTATAACACAAATATAACTTCACAGAATCCCACAGACATACCTCAGAGATATCGCAGGTACAGTTCAGGACCACTGCAATAAAGTGAAAATCACAATAAAGGGTCACATGAATATTTTGGTTTTCCAGTGCCTATAAAAGTTATATTTATGCTATATTATAAACTGTTAAGTGTGCAATAGCATTATGTCTAAAAAAAGAATGTTAATAGTTTAATTATAAAATGCTTTATTGCTAAAAAAAATACTAATGATCAGAAACACAAAGTGAGCACATACTCTTGGAAGAAATGGCACCAACAGACTTACTCGACACAGGGTCACCACAAATCTTCAATTTATACAAACCACAATATCTTCAAAGCACAATAAAATGAAGCACAAGAAAACAAAACAAATATTTCTCCACAGTTGATCCTGTGAGAAGGATTTGAGTATGTGTGATGGATTTAATAGTGTATTACTTGTCTATTTTTGCATAACAAGTTTCCTGGTAGCTTATAACTTAAAACAACAAATACTTATCTCACATAGTTTTTGAGGGTTGGGAGTACGGAAATGGCTTGATAGTTCTTCAAAGTCTCTTCTAAAGCTGCATTCAAGTTGTCAGCCACCATCTGAATGTTTAACTGGGACAGATGTTCTGATTCTGAAAGGGCTCACTTACATGGCTGTTGGCTGGAGGTCTTAGTTTGTTGCTAGCTATTAGCAGCACATACATAATTTCTGCCACATTCTCTTTATTAGAGCTCTGTGAGTAATTCCAGTTCATACTCAAGAGGAGGGAAATTAGGCTCCACCTCTTGAAAGGAGTATTAAAAACTTTGTAGATTTATTTTAAAACCACCACACTAATTTAATCTTAGGAGGGACTAGTAGAGGAATAGGGATATAAGAAAGGGAATGCAAAGAGTTCAAAACAGGGTGTGCTGGTGTGCAGGCTAATAATTGTTGTGGGCAACTGGACTTAGTTTCCCATGGAATCCTCTGGGAGAAGGTTTGGAATATGCTTTTGTTAGTTTGAGTACTCTGTGAAGCAGAATAAACATGCAATACATTTATTAGAGGAAATGTCTATTAAGGATAAATGGAAGAAAGAAAGAGTGGTCAGAGAGAGCATTTAGAATGCAGTCCAGGTCTACCACCTGCAGAAGGAGGATTTGAGAGGGAGAGTCTCAAACATCAGTACAGTTCTAAGAGTTTTAGGCCAATACACATTAGAGGAATCCCAGACCTAGCAAGAATGGGCTGGCATTAGTAATTCGCCCTGCTCAGTCTTCCACTTAGAGTAGCTCTGAGGAAGTATGCCTGCTGCACAAATGTAGTGGTGGATCCAGAAAGCTGGCAGCTAGCACTGTCTGTCAATTATGCTCCTTGCAGAGCAAGATCTGGGCATAGTTTCACAGATTCTACATTTCACCCACTGCATTGCACAAATCTGATTCTCAATGCAAGTTTAAGGAGTGGCATCACCATGTTTCCTATTACCCTCCCTTATTTAAGGGAAACTTAAAATAGAGAGACTGGTAACACCAGCTACACCATCCACTGCTATAGTTGGTTTTGGGGTCATACATTATACTCATCCTTTCTCTTCTCCTTTGTCCTTTCTAAAAAATCCCCTAACCTTCAGCTATTACTTTGACAGATCTTGGTGCCTAATCATGTGTTGTGATCCGAACCTTCATTCCTTAGGGCCTAAGCCCTTGGAAATCATGGGCTTCTCAGGCTATAATTGTTGTAAATGTCCATTCAGTTACAATGGGGATGAGGGTACTCAAGAGGTCCACATGGGTAACCCATGTTCCATATATTTGTCTACCGGCACCAACTATGTAAATGCAGTCCTTCCACCTCCTGCTTATAACCATCAATTACTCTAGCCAAGATGGTGACTCCTTTCTACACCTGGAGTCCAAAGTATCCTGGTAGCAGCTATAGCTTTTATTTTAATGTTAACCTTGCTATGCCAATTGCAACAATTTGACCATTAGGTCATTTGTTGACCAGTCCCAAAATTTCATTTTACCTTTGTTTTCTCCTGCTACTCCTGGCACTACTTGTGTTAGTTTGGATTTTTTGAAAAGCAGGCAAAACAGGATTAGATATACAAGAGATTTATTCGGGAAACACATGTGAAGAGTAAAGAGGAGAAAGAGTTTAGAAGGAAGACTCTTCAGATCATGGTACAGGTCTAACCTCTGTGAAAAGAGGAGAGGAAAAGATGATTGGTTAAGAAGAAACTCCATAATCTTTGTCAGGCTAATGGAGAATGCTGCAGTTTCTCTTTAGAAGTGTCCCACATCGAATAGGAATAAACCACCACAATGTCTTAAAGTCATTCCATCTGAGTTTCAAGGAAGCTGAGCTTTTTATCTTTTAATTCTCATCACTGGGCCAAAAACTATTTCCTGGAGCATTGACTCAGCAACACTTCAACTGAAAGAATGTTTTGAAGAACAGCATCATTGATGCTTTCAAGAAGATATCATGGGCATGTGCTAATGAGGGTCTAGGGTATATTTGTGCAGCACCAACAGAAATTCCTACAAATGTGTTCATATTCACATATATATTCTGAAAAATAAAATCTGAAAACTGTAAATAGAAATGTTAACAATGATGATATTTGAGTGATTATATTTGAAGCTTCTGTTCAACTTTTGATTTTTTTGATTCTGTGATAATTTAATCTTGTATGGCATAATTTAATTAATGAAATTAATTTTATGTATGATTAAAATGCTATATAGCAAAATGAAAATGCTTATAATATATCATTCATGGGAGCCAGAATAATACAAAAGGCATGGAATACATATGTATAATATATGTTTAAGCAAACAGGGAAAAAATGTAAAAGTGATAATTATATTGTATGATTATGGTTATTTTTTCCTTTTTGTTATCACAAACAGAAAATATATTGACACAGGCAAACAAAGAAAGAATCTCTTACAAGTTCCCACTATTACTTTACCTTTTACCTCAATTAAATTGAAAGTTGGAACTGGATTTGTCCAATAAAAGGTTTAAGAATTGAATTTGCTTTGAATTGTAATACCCAAATATCAACCTCATATTCACATTTGGAGAAAATCGTAGCAAAGAATTTGGCGAAAAATAGTAATGTGACGTTACTATAAACATTTTTTATCAACTGCAACTGAATTAGCATTTCAATAACTACAGAAGAAAAACACTAATGCAGAATGCCACAGAGATGGACCTGCTGCCAAACATCATAAAGCCATCACACATCTCTGCAGGAAGGTCATGTAGTTAAGGTCCTTTCTTCGCTCCTGTAAGGCTGTTCTTTTCTATTGGCAAGAAGAGGCTGTTGATGGGATTCTGCTTCAGGAGGCAAAAGTAACAAAATAAAATGAAAATCATCTCAAATTTAGATAGATGTCAATCCATATCAAAGGACAAAGACTTGGCTGCCAACCAAAACTAAATACCTAAAGAATTTTTAACACATTTGACATTTTCTTCACACTTTAATTTGTTTTGGATTCTGTTTAAATGGACTAGATTTTGAATACCCTTCTTTGAGCTCTAGATATTTTGCATTTGGTCCTAACCGTAGCCCACCGTCAATTTGACTCTATCATCCTACCACCATTATCCCTGAAATCAGCACTACTTTTTTTTTTTTTCTTTCTTTTTACAGGGGAAAAAATACGAGGTCCACATTACAACCTGTATTTTATGGTTTTCAGTTTTAGAAATTCAATGTGTTTGGGTACACACAGACATAAACATGGGAACAATAGACACTGGGGTATGAGAAGGAAGGAGATAAGGGCTGAAAATTTCCTGTTGGGCCCTGTGTTCACTATATGGGTGACAGGATCAATAGGAACCCAGAACTTAGCATCACACAATGCACCTACGTAACAAACTTGCACATGTACCCCCGAACCTTAAATACACTCAATTTGCTTGTTGTTTTACATAATTTTTTCTGAATTTCTCTTGTTTTGATATTACAACCTTATGTTTGGAGAATTTTCCCTTTTGTTTTTATCCTATTTGCTTTGTTTCTTGGACATTGTTTCCTTTTACTAACATATTTAGTCTGATATGTGATTTTTTTTTAAGTAATTTCTTTTGTATTTTGGTCACAGCTGATTTAATACTCCTCCACTGAGTTCTGAGGATCCCTGGGACTTTCCAAAACTATTCCTAAGAACCCTGAACACTCAATAAGAAAACCTTTAAAAATTTCTTGAAGCGTTTTGAATCAATTGGCTGCCTAAGACTAAATATTATTATATTTGAGTGGCTATCTTTGTATATTCCATGTTATTGGGTTGGCAATAGCAGTACTTTATCACAGGCTAATAAGGAGTTGGGAGGGAAACTGGACACAGTAACACAATTCAAACCAACAAAACAGTAAATAGTGTCACTGATACACACATAAAAATCTTGGTACAGCTTGAAATGGAAAATTTTATGACAGTTTGCCTGGAAGAGCCTGTGCCTAAGAAGCTGGTATCCACATCATGAACGACAATTTTGTTTCAGCAAAACAGCATTATTTGTCAAAGAAAAATTAATGTTGTTAATTTGAATTTTATTGTTTTTATAGTTTATATTTAATTTGTTTGGCTTTATAATTTTGTGAGAGCTATTAGCATAAGGGACTTATATATGGTTGTATTTTTCCACCATTTTAAATACTATTGCAATTAACATATTACTATAAGATTGTGGGTTTATGATTTTTTTCTTTAAAAATGACATATATATTTTTCAAGTATAAGAAGCTCTAGACTAAGATATAGCTATAAGTGAAAATTTCTGAAAACCAAAAGCGATAATAAAACAATAAATTCAATAGTGCAGTGGTCCCCAAACTTTTTGATACCAGGGACCGGTTTTGTAGAAGACAATTTTTCCATGGACTTGGGTAGGGAAAATGGTTTCAGAATGACTCAAGAGTATTGCATTTATTGTGCACTTTATTCTTATTAACATTACATTGTAATATATAATGAAATAATTATACAACACTCCATAATGTGGAATCAGTGGGAACCCTGAGCTTGTTGTTTTGCAACTAGATGGTCCCATCTAGGGGTACTGGGGGATAGTGACAGATCATCAGCCATTCGATTCTCTTAAAGAGCCTGGAACCTACATCCTTCACATGCGCAGTTCACAACCAGGCTCCTACTCCTATGAGAATCTAATGCTGCTGCTGATCTGGCAGGAGGTGGAGCTCAGATGGTAATTTGAGTGATGAGGAGTGGCTGTAAACACAGATGAGGCTTCACTCGCCCAGGGCTCACCTCCTGCTGTGGGACCTGGTTCCTAACAGGCCAGGAAACATACGGGTCCATGGCCTGGGGGTTGGGGACCCCTGCAATTGTCCACACATGCAGAATTCAGATGTTTCCCTCTACCTTCTAGAAAATCTGTGGAAATAGATTTCTTGACCCCCGTACTTTTCTCTGAACTATTTCAGAGATTTTGAACGGTATGAGTTAGCTAGCTAGTTAATCTCATAATATTGCCAATTATTTTCTTCCAATTAATGACCAGGCATATACTTTGATCTATACCTCATTATTTCTAACATTTTTGGATAGTGTTTCTCAACAGCCATTTTCACATTTCACTCATATCTTTTTCATGTGCCTCTGTTCACGTGCCTGTGTTCAGTTGTATCTGTTTCTTTCTATTAATATTGGTTAGAGA
This sequence comes from Homo sapiens, assembly GCF_000001405.40. Classification (NCBI taxonomy): domain Eukaryota; kingdom Metazoa; phylum Chordata; class Mammalia; order Primates; family Hominidae; genus Homo; species Homo sapiens. The sequence goes on along the minus strand of NC_000005.10, from coordinate 84,584,990 downwards.
TGATGACAATCATGCCTTAAAAATAATCATGTTCATTGTATTTATCTTCTGTTGTGGCTTTTAAGGTTATCAGTTTATTTCACAACTCTTACAAAATATTTTGGAATATAATCCACATCCACTTTTTTTCTTGAAAATCAAGAAGACATGATAATTGTTCTTCAAAAAAGTTCTGATACATTAAAGAATTATGTCACTTTAAAAAATATTATGAAGTAAACGATATGTAAGCTCATTGGAGAAAAATGATATAAACAAATGGTAGCATTTTTATATTATTTTATATGAGGATGAGAATGAATTAGAGGGAACAGATTAATGCAAAATACTGTGATCATTGTAAACCCATTAAGTTCAGTCAGGGAACTGAATACTATTATTTCTTTTCTCAAAATATTTTTATCTTGATGGATCCAATCCATTGTATTTTTCTTCATTAAACACAGGGCATGCATCTCTCCTTAAAATCTTCAGCATTGTTTGTCTTGTCAATCATATGGTTCAACAATATAAAATTAAAATAGAAAACTAGTATCATCACCTAAACCATTGGTATTGACAAATAATGCTTTTATTCTCATAATCAGTGGATCCAAGGGAAAAAAGATCAAAGATGAAAAGTCAGTAACAAGAATCTTATCCATTAGGAAGCATGATTAAGAAAATGAAGTATATTTTCCAAATTAAAAATCTGTCTCAGAGAGATTCTCAATACAAAGACCCATATTGAGTTTGAATTATTATAATCTAGTAGAATTTACAGGAAGTTTGCAATTATTATTCATGTTTTTTTCTGTTTTTGTTTTTGTTTTGTTTAGTTCTAAGGATAGAGTCTTGCTGCGTCGCCCAGGCTGGAGTGCAGTGGCGCGATCTTGGCTCACTGCAACCTCCGCCTCCCAGGTTCAAGCGATTCTCCTGCCTCAGCCTACAGAGTAGCTGGAATTACAGGCACCACCACCAGCCCGGCTAATTTTTATACTTTTAGTAGAGGCGGGGTTTCGCCGAGCTGGCCAGACTGGTCTCAGACTCCTGACCTCAGGTGATCCGCCCGCCTTAGCCTCCTGAAGTGCTGGGATTACAGGAGTGAGCCACAGTGCCAGGCCTGCAATTATTAATAATAATTCATGTTTATGTTAAAAGCTTCCATTACTAAACATCTAAAACCAGAAAACAGAAGACGCAATGACCAAGATTCCAAGTCCATGGTACGCAATATCGCTAGAATGGTTAGCTATTAATTCAATTTGTTAGACTGTGAAGATAGAATCTTCCGTAAGTCAGGATGTAGTATGCAGGCCAGTCTAATGAAAATGCATAACCTTGCCAAAAGGGGATCTGATGAGAACCATGAACAATATGCGTGGCCATCTTTTCTTTTTTTTTTTCTTTGAGACAGAGTCTTGCTCTGTCGCCCCAGGCTGGAGTGCAGTGGCGCGATCTCGGCTCACTGCAAGCTCCGCCTCCTGGGTTCACGCCATTCTCCGGCCTCAGCCTCACAAGTAGCTGGGACTACAGGCGCCCGCCACCGGGCCCGGCTAATTTTTTTTTGTATTTTTAGTAGAGACGGGGTTTCACCGTGGTCTCGATCTCCTGACCTCGTGATCCGCCCGCCTCGGCCTCCCAAAGCGCTGGGATTACAGGCGCGAGCCACCGCGCCCGGCCCACGTGTAGCCATCTTAAGTCACCACTAGCCGTAGAAACCCAGAGCACACGCACTATTACTTACGTATTCAAAATACCTTCATGTGAAGTAGACATCACCTGTTCATCACCTTTATGATGAACAAAAACAATTTTCATTTTTTTCACAAAATAAACTTTAGACCTAAGAAATTCTAATACATGATGATGAGTAGCACATAAACAAGAAAAATGCCAGATTTCAGTCTTAATTTTTTCTACAATGCGGAAAATATCTGTTCCATTCACTAAATAAGTTGACATCAGTAGGTTATATATCTTGATGGTTTTGTTTTTGTATTTTTCTTTTGGTTGGTGAAAGTAACATTGTTTCTTTACTCATTTACCATCAGAAATGGTAGAAAGTCAAAGCATAAGGATATTTCAATATCATACTTTCTTTAAGGAAATAAAAAAGCAATGGTCAGATTCTGTTACACTACACTATTTCAGAAAACTCAGACACTTGCCATTTCTTATGTGCTACTTCTAAAAATGTTCTTATTTATTTATTAATACTATGAAGGTTACCATGACATCTTTAGCAAAAAGTCACATTTTTCTGTCCCTGGAAAACTGATCTACTTTTTAAAAGAAATATTGGTGCCACCAATATAAATATTCTGCATGTATCCATTTTTTTGCACAATTTTTTAAAGACAGCTACTTGCTGAGTTTATGCCTCAAATTGCTCAAATGCCATTTTTTTCCCTCAACATTACCACCATGTTTTAAATCACATTTGTTCTAAAAAAAATAACCACGGAAAAAATGACTTTTAATACAAAGAGTTGGAATGGATACTAAATGAGACAGATGGAGTAAATGAGATTGCTTTTCCATTTCTTTCCCACTATTTCAGGCAGTAGTAAAGCCACATCCTACTATTTTGAAAAGCTATAAAATATCATCTCTCCAGTAATGAATACTTGATCAACTGGTGATATTTTCAAAACTCCTCTTACATCTAATGGAACCACAGGTCTATCCTGTTCCTAGTGTTGACTGTATAACTAATACACTTCAGCTAACAATCCAATTCATTTGTGAAAAAGAGATAGACTGATTATGAAGAAAATCGCTATAGCAAAAACATACTCAGAAGCTGTCTGACAGACTCACAAAAGCCTGTCATGCATAAGGGCCACAAGAAGTCTAAGTGCTTTGGGTTACTGCTTAAAATGTGTAATCAGTATAGGAAGCATGATTTACAAAAATCAGTGCAAAGTACATGATGGGTGTGTGGTTATTTTTTAATATATATCCCCTACTTAGCCAACAACAAAAATGAGTGGAGTTTGACAGCTCTATGACTATTTTATAATAGAAGAATCAGCCTTTTAAACCTAACTCGTTGTAGATATTAAACATATATAGTCAAATCATCAGGGGCACAAGTAGTCAATGATTTTTTTTTTTTTCTCAAGGGCTTCTTCCCTTTAAGAGAACATAAATAGGAAACACTGCTCATCTCACTTTGAAAAGACTGACAAAAAAGTTAGAGAGCAAAGCAGGAAAAGGGAGAGGAAGGGAGGGAATAAAAGAGGAAACAAATATTTAAAGGCCTTTTTTTCCTGACCCTACAAGCCTTAAATATATTATATAAAAATAAAATATAATTATATTTTAGGAACCAAGTAAAATAAATATAGACTCCTTTACCCAAGTGAACTTTACCCAATTCAAACAGTCAATATTCAGTCACCAAAATGAATGCTAAAAGCAGTAATGTTCAGGAAATTAATAAACAGCCCTCTCTTAATTCTCCCATATGTGGGAAAACCAATGCCAGGGATATCTATTTATTTTTTTTTCCTACCACTGAAAAGCAAAGTCTTATTACTGAAGATAACCTTTTAAAATGATAATATAAAAATAAAATAGGATTATATTCTATCTTCACCCCAAATGCTATATGATATTCTTTTGTTTTTATCTGGAGAGAAGAATTATTTCAAATATTTACTCTAGTTGAAGAGTTTAATAGAAAATAAATGAGAATTTTTAATCCAAATTGTTTTTTTTTTCTAGTTTTTACCGTATTATTCATATCAAAGGCCTTTTAGCTCTGAAAGTAGGCCTAAATCTATAACAGTACTAAATGCAATTTATCTACTTTATACATTCTATAATTTGTCCTCTGACCCTATTATCGTACCATTTGTTTAGCCAAATGGTCACACAGCTTTCAAGTTGACAATGTAACTTCACTATATGAATCTTAATCTTATTCTTGCTTCTTTTGAGCCTACCTACGAAAGGATTTTACTTTACCTGTGGCATTTATTATCCATTTAAGAGCTTTTTTTTAATCTTACCCATTTGTAAAAATGATAGAAACTGAATCACTAAAAAGAGTAGAATATGTTTTCTTAACTTAGAGAGCAATAAGATGTATTATTTTTTCTATGTGCCTTTAGAATATGATAAACATTTTAACAGTTTTCATATTCATACCTGAGCAAGATGTTACACTGGTTCACTTCTACTGATAAGAAAACTAAAGCTCAGTGATGATATAATTATTCTCGTTTTGCTCATTTCTTGAGATATGGAACTGGGCTTTGAAACTTGTTTGTCTAAGGGTATAAGCTCATAACAGTATGCCTATTTCATCCTTAGAGTTATGGATCGGATCTATGTAATCATGTGTGGAATGTAGGGATCAAGTCTTTTTTTCTGTTTGTACACTTTCAGTGGTACTCTATATATGGTGTGCAACAAAATTCAAATGAGTAAATAATTAAATGAACAATTCTAACAAATGTACTTTTCAGTTAGCAGCAGCATGGTTGCTACTCTCAAATGTCTTCAGAAAGTTGCCCTTTTAGATTTTTATCAGGCATGTTTTTACGAGGCATGTATCTCTTAAAGTGTATCTCACTTGCATAGAAAACTTATTTAAATACAAGCTTCACAAATAAACATGTAAACCTGAAACAGCAGCAAACAACTCAGAGCAATACTTGATATGTTACATCTCTTAACTTACAAAATAATAACAGGTTTTTATTTTATACTTCATTGTATAAATTTGTAGTATAATTTAGATGGTCTTAAAAATATTAAAAGCCACATTTTTATAAACTAGGTGTTTATGCATAGTCATAAGGGGTTAATTGAGCATAGAAAGCACACACTTGAGACTCCAAATTGAATAATTTGATTTGTAAACAGGTACTTAGTGTACAAGAAGCCATTACACATGCAATTATCTGACTTCAATTAATTGTGTGCATCTCTAAGGAGCGACTCAAGAATGTTTGTTTCAATTTCACTGGCTTTAAGGCCTGATATCTATAAACATTTATTTTACTTACGCTATAGCTTTCAACTTTGGAAAAGACATTGTTAACAGCAATTATTATGTTCCTGTGAGGGAACACTGGAACTGCCGTAATCATCCCCCAGGTTTAAGCCCTTTTCCACTCAGCCCCCTCTCTCCTCACACACAAACACACAGGGCTAGAAACAAAATCAAGTTCAGGCTTCTCTAAAATATGGAAAACCACATGTTAAGAAATATGTGTTTGTAAATAAGAAATTGCTCTCATTTCAATAGCTCTTTATACTGTGTGCATTCCCCATCCACCTGTAGAATTTCAGAAGCCTCATTTAGGTTGCCTGATCACCTATGCTATTATTCCTGTAATGACCCAGAGATCAACTGTGCCAAAGTTAAAGCAAAGAGAAGACACACTATGGCCCTTAGAAGATGGCTTCAAAGCTATCATTCTACAGGTACCTTTTTCCTATCTCTTCAGTCATGAAGGAACATTTCTCACATAGCTACTGGAAGACCGCTTCACTGGGCTTTCTATTTGCTTAGAAATTTAGTTCTACAAACATGTGATTGATCTTCTTCTTCCTTATTATTCTCCTTGTTTTCTTCTATCTCTATTTCCTCCTCATCCTTCTTTTCTTCCTCATAACCCCACAAAGATAGAAACTATAAGTCCAAAACAGGTAGGAGAAAAGACTATGAACTCCTAAGCAGAGACCCGATCTTCTCTATCTTTCTACCCCTCAGCCTTCAAAGGAGTGATTGGGATGGTCACAATAATCAACAAGTCATTGCTAGATGAGCGATTTTTTCACTGAAACATCAAAATGATAATGCCATTCTGGAAATCCTTCTGGAAACTGCCGGTCTGAATGTGCTGCATTTCAATCAGCTCTTTTATTTTCCTGTACTTTTATCTATTATGTACAACACAATAGGTGAAATTCACTTTTGACATTGGATTACAATAAAATATTCATTGTCTATCTCTACCACATATTGAGGACAGGAATTGCTATAAGACTACGAAACGATATGCAAAAAAGTCTATAGAACCCTCAGAGATGGTTTGTTGGGAGAATCTCACTTTGGACTCTAGAAACAGACCGTGAGACAAGGAGTTGAGCACAAGCTGTCTATTTGGGAAGATCAAAGAATGAGTAGGGAAGTGTCAAGGGAAAATAAGAAAAGGAAAACTGCCACTACAGATGTCCTATTAAGCCAGCTGACACAGGGAGTGACTGTGAGAAAGTTCTGGGAAACAGCATCACAGATAGCTCAGAATTATTCCACCTCAGTGGGGAGGAACTGAGGTATTTATCAACTCCAAGTAGTTATTTGTTAAATGGTGCTAATTCCTCTGCACAGTTGGCATCATCCTAGTGGGTTTCTACAGTTTTGGGGAGAAAGAGTCTTCAGAGACAAAGATGCAGTTACTACAGGTGAAAATGGGAAGTCAGCCAGAGCATTTACCTGAGAAAGTTTAAACAAGCTTCGGAGAGTGAGTGAAGTCATGCTGATGGGCAATGAACGCATTTGCTGCAAGGAATAGCAGGAGCTACCGTGGACCAAGTGAAGTTTCAGATTCTATTAGACATCTGATAGGAGATGTCAGTAACATGTCTTGATTTCATGGATGAGTGCTAACAAAGAAGTGAAAGCATTGCCAGCATGACACAGAGTGAGGCAATTTTAACCCAATGGGTAGACAAAAGAAATAATTAAGAAAAGTAAATAGCCCGCTTATGAGGTACCTGAATTTAAATCATAATGTATCATGCTTAACGCTATTTATCAAAGTATTTATTCCACATTTACAAAAAGGTAATATTGAAATATTCCTTTGTGCAGTAATCTCAAAAGGCCAAAATCTGTTGTCTTTATTTAGGATTCAATATTACAGCCATTAGTTCCCTTTCAATTGTCAAACTTTAAAAATTGCAGCCTATATTCTCAAAAGGATTTTGTTAAGGGTTTATTTATTATTTTATTAGAAAGCCAATTGTTTAAAAATGGATTAACTGCAATTAATCAAGTCAAGTTATATATAAATCCGTATCACCAATACTCACAAAAGAAGTCTGAAGCATTATGTGGATGATTCTAATTAAATGTGAATCTTTCTGTATGAGCTCAGAAGCCTTCATCTCCATATAGTTTGCAGTGTATGCAGAGTTATTTCATAAACATCATCAAAGGAAGCATATTGCTTTTAAAGGTCAGTATTATTGCAATACTGCTTTTAAAGGTAAAAATTATCCCTAGTTAATAACCTAATTTGTATTATTAAAATAATGATTTTAAGTGTTAAAATTATTTCTAATGTTGTATGGCAAACAAAAACTTTCCTAGAATTAGATATAAATTTCTAGAACTAGACATTCACAGATACTTAAAACGCAACATGCTTAAATAGAAACCCTATCTACCTGATAGAAAACTTGTTTTTCCTTGTAGATTATTTTATTTATATCATGCCTATTACCCTTCATTCAATCTCCCAAGCAAGAATATAAGGAGTCATGCTTCCTTTCTTTTTATTTTCCCTCACTCAATAAATGACAGAATCATTTATCCAATTACTAGCATCAAAAATCTAGGCGTTCTCTCAATTTTCTCTCATCCAGTTCATCAGTATGCCCTGTCAACTTGATCTCCAAAGTATATCCCAGCATAAAGCCAGAAGGACTGTTTTTTTCCAATGTCACTGCTATAATCCTTGCTAAATAACCATTGTCCTGGATAGAGTATTGTCATATCCTCATAATTTGTCTCACTACTCCCATCTCTCCTCCTACAGTCTATTTTCTATACAATATCAGAGTGGTATTTTTTGTTGTTATTTTGGAGTTTTTTCCCCTTATTTGTAGGCATGGACAGAGTGGCATTTTAAAAAACGGAAATCACTTCACGTTAGACTTCTCTATTACAACTTTCTAATGGCTTTTCATCACACTAGAATAAAATCCCAACATCCTAGCCCAGTTTACAACATTTCATGTAATCTGGCCCCTGACTACCTCTCTGACATTCTTACATCATGCTATACCACTGGACTCCCTCCTGCTGTGCTCAGATACACTGGTCTTTTATTACTTTTTTTTAGCCCATTTAATATAGTTCCAATTTTTCGTAAAGTGTCTGAAAGAATGAGGAGGACTTAACCAGGTACTGCGTAGGAATGTACAAACACAAAAGCATTCAATCAATGTAGTCTCTATTAGGAAAGCTAAGGTGTGTGCTAGGAACCACAAGCAGTTTAATGTTGCTGCAGTATAAATAAGGAATAAGAGACAAGTCCGCAAAGGTAGCAGGAGTACAATAAAATCCCTTTAGGCTTTCCTAAGGACTTTAGACTTTTTATTTTGGTAGGAGACATGATCAAGACTCCTTGTATAATCTGATAAAAGATTGTATATATTTTCCAAGGGTGATACAAATCACTAAGAAGCATTTTAACAACATCCTGCATACAATTTCAGGTGGTGTCCTAACCCATTAAACACTGTTCTTAGGGTTAAAATTTTTGCTAGACAAGAAGACAAATAACCTGATTTAAAAATGGGCAAAGAACCTGAATAAACATTTCTCAAAAGAAATTACACAAATGGCCATCAGATACATTAAAAAATGTTTAGCATCACTAATAATTAGGAAAATGCAAATTAAAGCCAAAATGAGACATTACCTCACATCTACCAGAATGGCTATTATCAGAAAGATGAAAGACATGTGTTGGTCAGAATGTGGAGAAAAGGGAACTCTTGCACACTGTTGGAAGGAATGTAAATTAATACAGCCATTATGGAAAACAGTATGGAGGTTGCTTTAAAAACTAAAAATAGTGTTACCATATGATCTAGCAATCTTACTTCTAGGAACATATCCAGAGGATTTGAAATCAGTATGCTGAAGAGCTATCTGCACTCTTATGTTTTATTGAAGCCCTATTCACAATACCCAAGTTTTGGATTCAATATAAGTGTCCATCACCAAAGAATAGATGAAGACAAGATTTTAAATATACACACAATGGAATATTATTCAGCCTTAAAAAGAATAAAATTTTGCCATTTGTGACAACATGAATGAACTTGGAGGATATTACGCTAAGTGAAATAAGCCAGGCACAGAAACACAGATACCACATGGACTTGCTTATATGTGGAATCTAAAAATATCAAGCACGTAGAAGCAGAGGCCAGAATGGTAGTTACCAGAGCCTGGGGACAGGGAAAAACTGAGAGGTAATAGTCAAAGGGTACAATGTTTCAGATGGGAGGAATAAATAATAAATATTTGAGGTGATGGGTATATACATTTGCTTGATTCAATCATTCCACATTGTATACATATATCACAGCATAACTCTGAATCCTATAAATGTATACAATTAAAAATTATCAATATCCAATTATATACATTTTAAATAACAAAAATAATTCTTAAATTTTTGCAATAGTTCTTTTCAGTTATTGAATAATATTAATTAGTGTGCTATTTTAAATAATATATTATGGTGAACTTTGGCAATAAAATGGATGTGAGAAATACAACATTGAAGTCACTGGGAAGAATGGTTAGAAAATTATTCAGTAAGTCCAGAAATGGTGGATTTCATAAACATGTTACTTATCCCATGATGTCCAAAGGAAATAGTAATTGATTGTATATGGGTAGCAATAAGAAGAGTAGTAATTTTTTTTTTTTTTTTTTTTTGAGACGGAGTCTCGCTCTGTCGCCCAGGCTGGAGTGCAGTGGCACGATCTCAGCTCACTGCAACCTCTGCCTCTGGGGTTCAAGCAATTCTCTGCCTCAACCTCCCGAGTAGCTGGGATTACAGGCGCCCACGACCACGCCTGGCTACTTTTTTGTATTTTTAGTAGAGACAGGTCTTCACCATCTTGGCCAGACTGGTCTTGAACTCCTGACCTTGTGATCCACCTGCCTCGGCCTCCCAAAGTGCTGGGATTACAGGCATGAGCCACTGCGCCCGGCCGAAGAATAGTAAATTTTTATACTCAGGTTTCCGACCTAGGTTCGTCATAAACCCCATGCCATTTTGAGTCCTGTCACTTTTAAGTTCTATTAATGATTTAAATTTTTTACCACCACGAGCATGTCCACAAATGACTAGGAAAGTGTCATAGCTTTGATTTTGTTTTTACAAATATATTTTAGAAAGTTGGAAAATTTGAAAATATAGAATCTGCAAATAATGAGGATCAATTAAATCTTTTTTAAAGATTTTTGGAAAATCAAATTAGACATTTAAATTATAGCTTCAAACACATATGTAATTTAGATTTTTGAAAAAGATGTTCTTGGAAATATTAATTCAAATTGAATCTTCGATTTATAATACTTATATATTTATGTAAAAATATGAATGTAAAATAGTTTAAGCAAATTAACAAAATGATTTTTAGGATAACTTATTGCTATGGTTTTCATGTGTCTTACAGAAAGCTTCTGTTGGAAAATTAATCCCCAACGTAACAGTATTAGGAAGAGGAATCTTATAAGAGGTGTTTAGGTCATGAGGCCCAACCATCATGAATGGAGTAATGCTAATTACAAAAACAGTTTGAAGCTATGAGTTTTCTCTTTCCCTTTCTCTTTGCCCTTCTATTATAGGCTGACAAAGCAAGAAGGCTCTCACCAGATGCCAGACTCTTGATCTTGGACTTTCCAGCCTCCAGAACTGCAAGCCAGTAAGTCTCTGTTCATTATGAATTGCCCATTCTTAGGTGTCCTACTATAGCAGCACAAAATGGACTAAGACACATAAAATTCCCAGTGCTTTAGCAAATAGGCTCCAAGTAAATGAGATTATTGTGGTCCTTACAGTAGTAAAGCCATCGAGCACATAGTAATGCTAAATGGATGAAGAAACAGCTTAGAGAAGAGTACCGTGTTTTAAAACATAGAAATAAAAATTAACCTGCTGAGAAAATTTAAACTCAACAACTTTGCTAAATGACATGCTTAAGTTTTGCTTTGCTTGAAACAATCTGAATTCAGTCTTAAAACTTTCGCATTTTACTTAACTTGAAAAGTTAGAAATTAAAGTATAATGTTTACTTTTACCTGGAACTCTATACTCCTATTTCTCTGAGTAGAAGAGAAGCTGAGGAAGACCTTGCAAAACCACCAAAACACTTTGGAGATATGCCATTGGATAACAACCGTATATTGGTACTGACTTCTGTCTGGGATTTAGTAAATAATGATACCATCATAGCTCATTTTATTACGATATCTCTTCTTTATCTATTACAAATTGCTTACTAAGAAATACGTCATTTGATTTTTGCAATAATTTATGAATTAGGCTAGTATTAGTATCCTCAAATAAACTGTTTAAATTTTTGACTTGACCGAGATAAAATTTGTGCACATTGAGACTTTTACCACTTGTAGATCACGAGATTTGCAATGTGACTGGCATGCAGATGAAAGGCTTATTGTCATAGGAACTATATTTGCACCTTTTGCAAACAGACAAGAGCTATGATTAGCTCTCACTAATGCTCTCTGGGATCACCATATAAAGGTTCCGTGAAGTGGGAAGAATCACAGTATAAGCTAGAGAGAAAGATATATAAAACAGCCTATGACTAAGAAATTAGAAATGAATATAGAGGCATAATGTTCTCTAGAAACAAGGAAAAATTTTTTAAAGAATCAGAGTGAGTGTGTGAGTGGAAAAAACAAACTCAGTTTCACTCACTATCCCTCACAACATGTTTCTGACACCAGCTGTGTGGGATTTCTCCAGAGCAGCAAACAAGCAATCAATTCTGCAGAGGAATTTGCAGCTGGGCATCCTTCAATTCAATCCTGACACAGACAGGTGGATAAAGGCTCAGTCCCAGAAGAGTGTCCCCCACTTCCAGTGCCAATCACAAGCCCCAGGTTCTTTTAACTGTGCTTCTGACAACAAGCTATAAAGTGGGGTCCCCATAACTTCCTCTTCAGATTCAAATAACTTGCTACAGCAGCTAACAGAATTCAAGGAAACACATTTACTTGTTTATTATAAAGGATATTTCAATGGATACAGATGAAGGGATGCGTAGGGTGAGGTATGAGGGAAGGGGTGCAGAGTTTTCATGTTCTCCCCATTCAAGCCACCTTCCAGGGACCTCCATGTGTTCAGTTATCCAGAAACTCATCTAAACTCTATCATTCGGCTTTTATGAAGGCTTCATTTTGTAGGCATGATTGATTAAATTATAAGCCATTGGTGATCAACTTAACTTTCAGCCTTTCTCCCCTCCTGGGAGGTTGGGAGGTGGGCCTAAAAGTCCTAAACCTCTAATCCTACCTTGGTCTTTCTGGTGATCAATCCCCAGCCCTATCCCAAGGCTACCTAGGGACTGCCAGCCATCAGTCGACTCATTTATAAAAGACACTTAGTACTTTGAAGATTTCAAAGATTTTAGGAGTTATGTGCCAGGAAACAGGAACAAAGACCAAATATATATTTCATAATATCACTGTGTGGGTTATAAACTTGTACATGGTAATAAACAATACAATTTAATAAAACCATAAATAAAAGCAGCCTGACCTGTAGATGCAATTTTCTCTGCCTTGGAATTCTAGAACATTACCTATTCTGATGAAATACAGCTCACTTTATTTTAATTGAATGAAACTTCCTAGTTGGAAACATTTCTCTGACAGTTATTCTTTTGAAGCCCCAGTATCATTTTGAGTTAACTTAAAGATGTGTCCTAGAAAGAAGAAACAACAAGACAAGGACGATAAAGAATTAGGAATGTGTAGTAATGAGGAAACAGGCCAAAAAAAAACCCTTACTTTTCAAATGTATTAACAATTATTGGGCTGGGGAAAAAAATATATATATATATATAAATATATATATTACAATTTAGAAAGGAATGTAATTATAGTAAATTCTACCTATTTTATTACCTTGAGGGATGAACAGAGCTTCAACTTTAAAAGATGCTTGTGTCCTTATATTTCCTCTATAAATCTATCCAGAGGTCTTGAGTAACAGAAAAGTTGACAGATCTGGTCTTATTTCTAGCCTTCAGTCAAGAACTAAAGGCGACTTCACTAAATTTAACGTGACACCTAAAGAAGGTTAAACAGACCTTAAGTATCAGTGTGCACATTAGTAAGTAAGTATCAATTGTAGAGGAAGACTTCTATAGGAGCACTAAAGAAAACAACTGAATAAGACAAATAGCTCAGGCTCAGTGGAAACCTATTACACTAAACACTAGCTTCATTTAACTATCAAGTATTATTTGGCTACCATTAGTATATATAAACAAAGATAACTCTGTAACTTATACCATATTAAAGCCCTGTTCTCATATTTTTCATAAGTAGCTATGTAAAACTAAAGCCACTTTTTGGAAGATTTTTACATTTCAGCTTGTTAAAAAGAAGATTTAAGATTTGTACGTAGATGCTGGTAGCAGTTTTGCCATTTACTACCTGTGTAGCATATAGACATTTATTTAAATTCTGTGGCTTTCTGGTTTCTGCCTCTGTACAATGAGGTTGGATTAGAACCATATGGTGTATTCAGTTCTTTCTATTAAAAATACAAAAATAAGTGCACAATTAGATCTTCATTGAGGAAGTAGAAGTGCTCATCATTGTATTAAATTACACACTGATACTATTCAACTGATAAAATTCTTTTTCAAAACATGTGGTAGTCTATTTTGCAAAACATGTGGTAGTCTATTTTCCATTGCTTATAAAGGAATGTCTGGGACTGAGTAATTTTAAGGGAAAGATATTTATTTGGCTCATAGTCTTGTAGGCTATACAAGAAGCATGGTGCCAGTATCTGCTCCGCCTCTGGTAAGGCCAAGGAGAGAAGCGGGGAGGTCACAGACTCTTTTTAACAACTAGATCTTGCCTGAACTCATTACCACAGGGAGGGCATGAAGCTATTCATGAGGGATCCACTCCCATGAACCCAACACTTCCCACCAGGTCCCACCTCCATTAGGGAATCACATTTCAACATGAGATTTGGAGGGGACAAAAATCCAAACTACATCACATGTTAATTGGTGATTTAAAAAAAGCTAATGGATTATTTATTGGCTTATGCACTGGTATTTAAAATATAATACTCTCCAATTACTTTATTTGCCCACTAATAGCATACTTCATTTATCCATGCACTTAACCAATTTCTATGCTCTAGGTAATTGTCCTATGCTTGGACATATGGTGGTGTTCTCTGCTACGTAGAGCCCAGAATCTGGTGGGAGAAGCAAAGAGTAAGTAAAAACAGAAACATGTAGTTACACATAGTAACTAAATAGAAGAAAAGAACAAGGTGTTTTGAGAGGTAATAATAAAAAATCTACTTTAGATTTGAAGATGAGGGAAGAAAATGAGAAAACACTTTCAGGCAGCCTAACTGCAGATATGAATTATTTCCCAAGATGAGAAAATGGTTGTTGTGTTTGAGGAAGTGAAATAATATAATTGTTTAAGAATGATGGAGAAACAGACAGGATGAGTGGCGGACAAAGGTTGCATAATACTGAGTATTATAAGCTTCCTTAAGGAATAAGTATACTACTTAAGGGCAACTGACAGCCATTAAAAGGTTTATAAGCCTGGGAGTAATGGAAAAGGATGTACATTTTACAAAGATGACTGTGAAAGTTGGTAAAGGTTAGATAATGGAGTGGGCAATAGCAAAGGTTGTAGACTATTCTAGAGGTTTAGGAAAGAGACTTTGTGTTGGTGGTATGGAAGAAGATAGAAGATAATATTACCAATACTTAGGAGGTGATTACGCATTTCTAGTGAAATCGATCTCCCCAGTTGTGGGGTTTTGTTTAGTTTTAGATTGGTTTGTTTTTACCAGAATTATTAAGTTTATGGGTCCATGCATGAAAAAAGTGGATAGCAGAAGATATTTGTAAGAGTGTGATTATTATGGATCAAGAAATATAATCAGGGCAAGAAGGGCAATAAAGACAGATGGGAAATGACAAAGGGGCAAAGGGCATTATTTAGCCTGTGAACTGAAAGGATGCAGTAATGTAATTATTTAGACATGGCGCATCACCAGTCCATGCGCAAGTCACCAAATGGTAAGAGGAATGAAGAGAAACTTAAAAATTGAGGCATGAATCCATCACTGGATAAACAAATGTGGCATGGCACTTATATCACAATTATATCATTTCTGAGCTCAGCTGTGTGTCTTATTGATACTTGAACAATTAATATAAATGTATCTTAAGAGGTAAGCTTAAGACTTATTCTTTTAATAACATTGGAATGTGATTTATATTAATTTTACGATAACATCATGTTACTAAAAAGCTGTCAAAATCAGCGTTAATGCAGGATTATCCCAGAATTTTAATAACATCTCTCCAACAACCTTTTAAATTGAACAAGTGGTTAGCAATGTAACTGGCTTGCCATTTAAAAAAAAATTGCCTGATTATTTAAAGGAACTAACTTATGAAGTTTGAAAATATGATGAGATGACATAATGTATGTGAGAAAAACCTGTCATTCAGATAATTAAGTTCCAAAGGGCATAAAGCTTTATTCAATAATCAAAATATGCTGAAGTCTGTAAATTTACATGCACAAAAGTTAGTACATTCAAAATTAATTCTTCTGCCCATGAGCCACCAACTCTTAAATATAAACAATATGTAACAATTATCTTTACCACATTTTTGACTCCACACACATACTGACCTTTCAAATTTAAATATGTGTGTTTAAATATGTATTTATGTACTATGACTTAAAAGAAGTATATAACAGTATATTAGTTGTCAGGTGGTTATTTAAAATTCATCATCGAAAATGTAAAAGAAAAGATTATGCTGAATGTGAGACTATACTTAAATTAGAATTATTTTAAATTCAAGATAAAAAAGATGTTTGACTCTCTCCTATATACTAGATTTCATGCAAATATCAGTGAGTAAAAACATGTATTTGTCTTCAAGAAACAAATCTATTCAAGACTTTTTAAATCTAACTTTTAAAATTTCTTTTATTGATTTAGCATTTTAAAATTTTCAACAATATAATCTTGTGATTTTTTTAAATCACTGGTTGTACTCAACTCCTTGCCAAAGCTATACTATTATCGTCAAAATTATTTGAAATATAAATATTTGATTGAAATATTTTAACTCTATTTTAACAGTGGTGACTATTTTAACAGTAGTGACTCAATTTTAAATGGCACAGTTTTACTCTCACAGCAAGGATACAAAGTATTATATTTAATTGTTCTATTTTAAAGTATATTTAAAATTTTTCAGACATTCTGTTTAAAGGTATATTTAAAATTTTTCAGATGTTCTATTTAAAAGTATATTTAAAATTTTTATGAGCATTTGATAACATTTCAGTAGACAGAAACCCTTATTCAAGTCTCACTCTTTAACTATCTTTCTGTCTATTTTCAGCTATGACAGATACTGCTCCTCTTTCATTATCTAATCCTTCCTTTTTCATGCGAATAGAATACCTTAATTGTTATCTTGAAGACCACAGTCCTCCAAACCCCTTGGAGCTCAACATGCCTACATACTATGGTCTAGACAATGAGTTATAAGGAAAGCAACCTATTAAGCAATGACTTACAGAAACCATTCTCAAAAAACAGCAAGCATACACCAATATTCTTGCTTTTTCTGCCCTTCTACCCTGTTGCTTGAAATAGAGATGCTGTCATTTGTGAACTGAGGTTAAGGTCATACCATGGAACAATAGGGTGCCTGAGTCCCTGACACTGTGGTGCAATCTGTAAGCCCTAAAACTGCATATTTGACTTTTAACTGAGGGAAAGAAGAATGGCTTTGTTTATGCTCCTCTTACATTAGTTTTTTTTTTCCTTTTTTAAAATTTCATTAAAATCTTAACATGGTATTTGGAAAATATGAAAGCAATTAAAAATCATATATATCAAAATAATTTTTAAAATGCTTTTTAAAGATATTTAACTCTTCTAATCCTAAATGAAAGAAAGTCATCCTAAATCAATACTGTTCTCCTTCCCATTTAGAAAAACCCATGAAACTCGATTGAATTTTCTTAGAAGCATACTTAAAGGATCAACAATCAGTCTAAAATTCTAATTCTTTCCTATTAAAATTCCTGTAGATAGATGTTCTGTTAGTTTATAGCCCAACTTTGTTGGAAATAATCTGAAGAAAAAAAATCAAAACCTAGAGAAGGCTCATTCTCTATTTAGAATTTTCTGGATTCAAAAATCTTTCAAAGTATATCACTTACTTTCATCATTTAACTTCATGGCTCTTAATGATATCATATATTTTTTAAAATGGTGCTTCTGTTATTTTCTGCAAAATGTCATTCTGTATAAACTTTACTGTAAAATAGACCCATCACTATTTCTCCTACTCTCCATTATATTGTTTATCCTGTTTTTGTAAATTTCTTTATCTTAAAAAAAATCCATTTGAAAAACTGTAACTTGTGATATCCTATTTTCTAAAACCACTATTTTAAATCTAGCCATTCAGTCTTGTTATTTATCTGGAATTTTGTTTCCCCATTTCCTTAAATGATGTAAACTTTAGGGATTCGTTGATGATTATTCCACTGTCATTCAGTATTACAAAAAGAAAACTGATATTGGCACACATATTCCAAATACAGCTTTTAATAGTACGTGTGTGATAGCTCCCTCTCACTATTTTTAATCTTTTATATTCTAAAGATTTAGAACCAATCCTTAAATAGTAAGAAAGTTAGAACATAATCCAGTACAGAATCAATCATATTCAGGACACCCTGAATGCAAATACTTCATAATCCAGTTTTACAGTTTAATGGACATTGTTTAGCATGGCACCTCTCAGATCTGATGTATCTTGTTGTGCTTAAAATTTGCCTTACACTTTCCTTCAAAGTTACCCTGTTCTCTACTTACCACATGTATAAAATATTCTATTTTTCTCTTAATGTTTTACAAACTGATAATTTTCACTATCAGTAGTGGATCTTTTTATAATTCACCCTATGTCCCCCAAAATATACCAATAATACAATGATTAGATTAGGAAACCTGGCATCTTTTTAAAAGACATGCTTTCTTTTTTTTCTTTTTAATTTTATTATATTTTGCCATCCACAGTTCAGCCTAATATAAACCAATTTAAAGCAAAAAATGCCTTCCCTGCTGTCATCATCTCACTCACCCACATTAGCACTGTTGTTCTGATTAAAGATGGTATATATTCTTTCACAATATTGTCGAGGAACTCTGCAAAATAAACCACAAAGCTGCATTTTTATTTTTAAACAGAGTGACCCAGGAAAAGTTCATTTCTTTTGAAGTTTAGTTATTTTGTCTATTCATTGAGGTTTTCTTGCCTGGTGGCTTTCTTCCTGTAGCATCTAGCATCCACCTCTCTTGATTGAGAACTTTCCAAACAATAGCAGGATGCTCTGACATAAATGCCAAATCACTGTGGATTTATTCATGTTATAACAGACTATCTCAAGCCAAAACTACTTTGGATTTTATGGGCTTGCTGTAAAATGTTGGCCAAATGAACGCTGGACAGGTGGATTGCTGAGTTTTTCAAGCCTGTTTTAAAGAGTTTGATCTCAGTCCTTATCTGCATTGGGCTAGAATACCCTAGGTTCCTTTGAAATTCACAGGATTTTAATTAGGCTTCAGGCCTCTACATTTTAAAAAATAAAGTGCTAAATAAAGTGCTAAATATAATGGTGTCTTGATTATTAGATTAGAAACATTATAAAGCAGGTGAAAATTAAATTTAATATCAAGGCATTAAATGTATGCAATTCTCACTGGAGAGCATAGAAGCAAGAGCCTTCACTGCAAGAAGACTGTTTCATGTGCCTTTAAATTTGAAAATTCCTATAAATTGAATGAGAATGTCAGGAGAATGCATCTGTTTAGCAGCTTGCAGTTTGGGGAATATTCTTTAAGAATACTACATTAGCATCAAAATGGCAATGTGCAGATTGGAAGGATATAATGGTTTACAAAGTCTCACCCTCCTTCACTTAACTATATGAAGGCCACGCCAGAGCAATCTGGGTTGGAAGTTGTTGGATGTCTATGTTCTGATATTACTGCTGCTGATTGTGAAGCAAAAATAAACAAAGAAAAAGAGGAGAAAAAGAGGTTCTCTGTATACCCCCTCCAGCTGAAGGCAACAGCAAACCTGACAAGTCAAAGAGATACCATTGAATTGTCAGTGTTCAAAGCCCACTTAATAAGTAACTGGGATTAGCGCTCTCTTTTAGGAATGCTGCCTTGAGTTTAGGCTCTATTTGTGGAAGAGAAATGAAAAATAACAGAAGCTGCTCAGTAAATGATAAAGAAATAGAAAATAAGAAAAAAGCCTAGAGCTCAAGTCAGGGAAGTCGGCGTAAGCCTAAAGTATAAGTTCCTTTTCATAAGCAGTGAAATGTGTAAAAGCCATTTCTCAATGTCTCTACGTATAAAATGTACCAATGTTATGCCATGCTATACATTTATAATCAAAGGTAAATGCCATGATAACATGGTGGTCTTAAGGCATATTGCACTTTGCATAGGAGAAAAACACCATTAATTTACAACACTGTTTAATAAATTAAATTTGCCTGAAAGATGGGGCATCTACAAATGCATTTGTTCTTTCCCCACATCGGTCCATTTTCTCCACAGGGAGCAAAGATTTGCTAATTGTGTCATGAATGTAATGGAATCTCGAGGGCACCTTCATAAGAATATGACTTGCTTTCCGTCAACTTTTTGACCCTGTTCCCAGTACACTTGGTTTTAATCATAATGTGCTTCCATCCAGAAGACTCTGGGTCATTCCCAACAGAATAGGTAAAAGCACTGTCTTACTACTTGGAGGGAAGGCTACACAGGAACATTTTAAATAATCATAACTCATATTTCAATGGGGATTTACAGTTAACAACGTGCTATCATTAGCATTATCTCATTTGATTATAGGCTGGTTTGCCACTGTGTGTCTTGCATTTAATAAGAACTCAGGAACTATTTGTGGATTGATTAACTATATAATCTTCTTGCTAATGCAAGCAGTGACATGTTCAGTAACTCTGGTTACATTATTACCTCAGCTGTCTGGTCCATCATGATAATTTCCACAGGGAAACTGCTTCTGTGAACAAACACTACAGCCTTATGGAAAAAGTGGGAAGGTTTATCCAGGCAATTAGATAAGGGTGTGACTTTGTATGTTGTGCAAAGACAAAAGCTGTTGCTTTGTTTACCTGGTGTACCAAATTCTATACCACAGCCACTCGGAAGCCATGGCTTGTCCCATTAATATCCCAGTCACAGTGATTTGTCCTTACAACATTTTTCATCATGCGAAGCAACACTTAAGTGTCCTTTGGCATCAGATTGCTTTTGGGTTTTGTTCCATAATGTTTTCATTAAATGTGTATGCTAAAAGAGGAATGAGTCAGGGAATAGAAATTACCATTGGAAAATTGTAGCCAGGCAAGCCTCATAAATAATGCTTTGTTTTTGCTGCTGATGTCAATCCAGGCTTGCCTTTCAATGCCTATCTTTGTTATTCTGAATGCTGTAGTTGCTAGCACTAGAGCTAGCACTCACTCTCCCTTTTTGTAAGAAAACACAGATAGAAAGATTGTTGATGAAACCATTACTGAAGATCAAAAATTTGTTTTGTCAAAGAAAAAAAAATCAGGATATAAATAAATGCAAAATAGAGCAAAGTATGTTTATTTACTTTTTCATAACAAAATAAAACAAAACAAAAATAAGTAGAAGAAAAGGGAAAATAGAATGGTAAACCAAGTGGAATGTTTGTCTCACAAATGCAGTAAATAGGAGGTATTTGTTTTTAAATAGCTATATATATATATATATTTTTTTTTTGAGACAGCATCTCGCTCTATCACCCAGGCTGGAGGGCAGTGGCATGATCTTGGCTCACTGCAACCTCCACCTCCCAGGCTCAAGCCATCCTCTCACCTCAGCCTCCTGAGTAGCTAAGGCTACAGGTGTGCACCACCATGCCTGCCTAGTTTTTGTATTTTTTGTAGAGAAGGGGTTTCACCATGTTGCCAGTCTTGTCTCAAACTTTTGGGCTCAAATGATCTGCCCGCCTTGGCCTCCCAAATTGCTGGGATTACAGGCAAGAGACACCACGTCCGGTGCTAAAATATATTATTGAGAACAAAAGTCCTTTAAAAAGTCCTTTGAGCCATTTTAAGTTGCATATATATATATTTTTATTTTTAGAGAGAGGGTCTTGTACTGTTGCTCAGACTGGAGTGCAGTGGCATGATCATACCTCACTATAGTCTTGAAATCCTGGGCTCAAGCGATCCTCCTGCCTCAGCCTCCTAAGTAGCTGGGACTATAGGCACGTGCCGCTGTGCTCAGCTAGAGAGGCATACTTTCATACAAAACAATCTCACAAGAAATATAGGTGAATACATTAAATGATATATGCTTAGTCTTCAGGTGCTTGCACTATGACACTTAACCATGAGCTTGGGAGATGCTCATTAGTCCCTCATGTTAGACATTATTAAGGTGACCTCTCATTGAGTCACCCTTGTGTGATCCCTTAACCTAGAGAGCAGGAGAAACCTGTGACTGGCTTCACGACAATAGAATGTGGCAAAAATAAAAATAAAAAACGATGCATATTTGTTACATAAGAAGGTTAATTTTATGTGTCAACTTGACTGGGCTAAGGAATGCTTAGATAGCTGATAAAATGTAATTTCTGCGTGTGTCTGTGAGGATGTTTCTGGAAAAGATTAACATTTGAATCAGTAGACTGAGTAAAAAAGACCGACTCTCAGCAATGTAGGAAGGCATCATCAAAACTGTTGAGGGCATTAATAGAATAAAAATGGTGGAGGAAGCATAAATTCTTTCTTCCTTCTTGAGCTGTGACATCTATCTTCTCCTGCCATTTGCCATGGAAGCTCCTGATTCTTGGGCCTTTGGACTCTGAGATTTACACCAGTAATCCTGGTGTCCCTCCCTTCCTACTCCATCTGAATTACACCACTGGCTTTCCTGGTTCTCTCACTTGAAGAGGGCATATTGTGGGATTTCTTGGCCTTCAAAATCATGTAAGTCAATTTCCATAATAAATTTCCCATAGTCTCTCTCTCTCTCAATGTGTGTGTGTGTGTGTGTGTGTGTGTGTGTGTGTGTGTGTGTGTATTTTTATATATCTCCTATTTGTTCTGTTTCTGTAGAGAATCCTGACTAATACACAGTTTTAAAAGATTACAGGGAGAGATTCCCTAGATGGTTTTAAAGAAGCAAGCACATGTGTTGGGAACTGCCTGTGGAGAAAACTTCATGGCAGGGAACTCCACATAGCTTCTAGGACCTGAGGAGGCCTATAGCCTATAGTCAGCAAGAAGCTAGAACCCTAAGTCATTCAGCCATAAGAAATAAGCTTTGCCAATAACCTAAATGAGTTTGAAAACAGATTTTTTCCCTGGTCATGCCTCCAGATAAGAACAAAACCTGGTTGAAATGTTGATTGCAGCAGCCTCTGTGACTCTGAGCACAGTACTCAGCTAACCTATGCCAGAACTCAGACCACAGAAACTGTGAGATAAAAAAAGTGGGTCCTTTTAAGCCCCTAAGTGTGTGGCAATTTTCTAAGTGGCAATAGAAAATTAATATCCCCAGTGTGATTATTAGAGTAAGTAGTCAGGCAGACATGTGCAGGGCAGGAGACGGCCCTCCCCACCACCAGGAACTTTAGGTGACCATCAGGTGATGGTCAGGCGGTTGTTAATTGTGTCTCTAAATAATAATTGGTGGCAGTCAGCACCAAGGAAAGGCAATGGATAAAAACACCTGAAACTGGTGATCACAGCTTCCTGATAAGATCTCAGAAGCTGGGCAAGTGGGCTCAAGCGTGGGCCCTTAGAGGAAAAATTGTGGAGTTTAAGTGGGATATGACCTTCTAGAGACATTTGACTGGTAAGGCAAGAATGCCTCAAGTGAGCATGCATACACCTCCAGTAAACACACTGCACATGTGGCCCCTTCCAAGTGCTGGCAGGCCACTGTGCATGTGAAGAGCCCACCCCAAGGGAAGAATCAGGGGAGGACTAAACACAGACCCTGGAAGAATCCAACATATAAAACCTCCAAGTCAAGAATCAAACCTCGTACCCTCGTACTTGATCTCTCAAGTCATCTGATTGGCCCTCTTTCAAGCATACTTTACTTCCTTTTATTTCCCACTCTAAAGCTTTTTAATAAACTTTCCCTCCTGCTCTAAAACTTGCCTCAGTCTCTCACTCAGTCTTAGGCCCCTCAGTCAAACTCTTTCTTCTGAGGAGTCAAGAATTGAGGTTGCTGCAGACCCATGTGGATTTGCCACTACTATTAATAACATGATCAAACTGAACAGAACGACAACATTTGTAGTACCTACGCAGCACTGCTACCACAGAGCAGTAGACTTTAGAGAATGGCCTTTCCAGAACTGATTGACTTTCTGCAGAGTAAAATAAATGGTAGTACCATTTTAAGATTAAAGAAGATAAATTTTAAAAAGTGGAATTACTTATGATTTCCAGCAAAATGAGGGTGAAGTATTTGGAGTTATAAATATTAATATAAATATATATTATAAATATATTAAATAATAATTATATAAGGCTATTTGAACACTTAAATCAATATATAAATTATTAAATTTATACTATTGGAAAGGAGAAAATAATGTGAATTACTGGATGTTTAAAAATCTTCATTGAGTAAAATTTAAAGTAGTAGAATTTTAAGACTGGTTACAGATGCATAATAACTAAAGAACAATTGAATTATCTTCCGTATGCATTGTCTATGAAAGGGTTGGAAAAACTCACTAAGCAAGTGTTCCCAGTTTTCATAAAGTATAGATAATAAGAATTTTGCAATGAGTTTTCACGAAACAGAATTTGGTTGGACACAAGGGAAAGCCCCACTGGAAACAATATTTGCTAAAAATTATAGAGCTACTGAAAAAGACGAAGAACTGCTGTTTGTTGGATGAAAGAATGAACTAGTTGCCATCTATACTCGGCAATACATAAATCTATTTCTTCACCTCCTTCAGTGACTGGGCACCCCATGGCTTCTCCACTGGAAGTGCTGCCCACAGACTCTGGAGCAGAGGTGGAGACTGGTTGTGAGTACGGGTTCTGGTGCTGTAGGTTGGGGACAACTCTGTGGAACTGCCAAGGGCTGAAGTTGAACAGGTTCTCCTAAGGCTGGAGACCAGTCGAGGCTGGGAACACGGGGAAAGCAGGCCAAAATGGAGTGCTTATCTCAGCCACCCTGGAAGTGGGAGAGTTCTAATTGGTGGTCCCTACCTAGCATGGTGTGATACAGTTGGGCAGGGGCTATGATGCCAGTGCTTGGAGGGCATTGGGCTTCCTGTGCCTCATGTCCATTGGAACACAATAAAAATGTCTTACTGCTATGGCCCCTCGCAAGAAAAATAATCTTATTTTTACTTTCAAAACATTTTGATGACAAATTCCAAAGCATATATAGAGAAAATGCTTTGCCTCGAAGACCTGAAAATGCAGACTGACTTATTAAGGACAATCTTTCTGTTTGGGGACTTCTGCATTACTCTCTCTGATGAGAACACTCATGGCTTTGAATGACCTTGCTGAACTTCTCTTGCACAGCCCCCTTATTCACTTTCCAGTCTTCTCAGATTCTGTCTCATAGTTTCTTAGGCTTATTATCTTCGATAAATTACCTACCCCATTTCTCTGTTCTCAAGTACCTCACAGAAATGAGGTCAGGATAAAACATGGTCATAAATACATAATACAGATACTCAACCTTTTCATCCTCTTCCCCCTATAAATATACAGTTTTGGATTACGATTGTATTCACCTCAGAAGCCCAAATGTTTACCTCTAAAAGTCTTTGCTATGAGGACTTCAGCTTTCTTTCAGGATTCTGGAGGAATAAAAGTTTTACTGTACCATAGTAAATTCAATTAAAAAAATGAACTCTTACATATGTTCAACACTGATACCTTTTAAATTTTTCAAGAATTACCTGTAAGCCTAAAGAAACTGCAGGTGACCTTTGTACCTCAAATACACAATGAAAAGTTTGGAAGGTCAAGGGTGTTTTTTATTTTTCCACTTTGTATATTTTGTCACATGAACAATTATAGTGTCCTAAAAGTGGTTAAAAATAACAGAGCAGGTTAAAGTGTCTGGTGTTTCTCAGATTGCTGACTTTCACAAAGTCAACATTTGAAAGGCTCTCTACATTCTCTCTTTAAGGTATTCACTGTCTTCCCCCACCACCTGTAATTCTCTTAACAAATGTTTATAAAAGTGTATCATTTAGCAATATTTGTTTATCACAGCTTAAGTTTTCATCTTTCCCACTTTCCTAGTAATGAGATGGTTAGACAACAAAATTTTTTCTCCAAAATGTCAAACGATAAGTAGACTCTCATCCACCAACTAGGTTACAATGAATACAGGAAATCAAGGTTTTATGTCAATGGAAAGTTTTATAGTATCCCTTCAAATAATGAAGATTAGCAAAGCATTTTTCCAAGATGTAATTCCGATTAGAGAAGATCAGTAAAAATTAGTGTTCTCATCTGACTGAAGTTTACTGACAACAAGCATCCCAAAAGCCTAATAAAATGTTTCAAATTCAGTTGACATAGTGATTCTGTAACATTATCATTACCCCACCCCATGAGGTTTTGATTGGCTTCTCATGACTTTTAGAGGCTGCCAACACAATTTCTGTGATACAGAAAAGAGAAGAAAGACACAGTTTAGAAACACCTCTCTGGTCCAGCCAGCCCTGTAGCAGAAGCACAGAGAAAAACAGACTGAGAATAAATTGCTCTCTGCATCAGGCATGACCATGATTTGGATAATGAAGCACTCTAGAAGCACTTAAAGACTGGACTGAGAAGAGCTAAAATGCCAAGGTTAAAATTCTGATTGGTGATGCCACTTCCCCCAAATCAAGGCTTTCTTCATTGCCAGAACCTTCAATCTATGAATTCATTTATTTTTAATTGAGCCTATCTTCTTTTTTGGCATTGGCGTGGCCATTTTCTCTTGTAATATAAATATGTTAAAAGTTGAAGACAAATCTGAAGCTCCTCGAAGTTTTCTTTCAACACATCTTTTAATCAAAAGATTGAAAAAGTTTTCAGTTCATTTTCTGATATGCATGGTATATTTTTTGAAATTTTCATTAGTTTATTTTTAGTTGTATCTGCATATTTTTACTATTCTATTTTAATTAAAAATAAAAATTATATATGTATTATGTGCAACATGTTTTGAAATATGTATACTGTACACTGTGGAATGAATAAATAAATGTACATTACATAAATAATTTTTGTCCTTTCGTGTATCTACCTTTTTTCCCAATTAAAGTAGGTTGAGAGGGAGAGAGGAAATGAAGGTTGGTCACGGGGGAGAGAGAGAGAGATCTTGTAAGATTAGGGAATTGACAAAGAAATAGAAGATTATGTCTCTTTTTTAGTTTTGTATCTTATCTGGAGTGAATATTTAGCCCCAAATTCTAGTTTTGGAAGGGTGTGGTTGTGAATAATGGTTTCATCATCAAACCCAAGGAATTAGAAAAAAAAAGATGAAATAAGAATAAAAGGAAATAGGAGGCAGAACTGGCAAAGTGGAAGAGACAGAAAAGCAAAAAGAAAGCAAGTCAGCAAAGTAATAATAACACCCAACATTTATTGAGGGTTATCTATGTTCCGATCATTCAATGTTCAAAACAATCTTGCAAATTCTGAGCCTTAGTTTTGCACATAAAGATACTGAGTCCCAGAGAGTCAAATAACTACTTAACTACTCTATGGTAAAACCAGGATCTGCCAATATGGCTGCGGATCCCAGTGTGCCGGAATGCCATCATTATATTATCTATTCTTATTCTATTACAGTTTCTGATTTTCTCAAGAATCTTTCTTTGGCTGTCATAATAAATACAATTCATAATAAATAAAATTTCGTCAGGGATGAAGAATCACATAGTTTCCAGGAACATCTGCCAAGGCACATTAATGCATGGCTGACCTTTCATATAACCTTAGCTATAAATTTACATAAACTAACAGCCTGGTTTCAAATTCTTAGATTTTTAGTTTTATAAACATTAATACTCTTTCACACCTGAATGTATTCCAGTCATTTTAGGGAAAAAAATTAACATAATCAGTTGACAGACCTTAAAATTATATTATCTAAAATTTCAGTTTCTTATAGTTAATATTAAGAATTTAAATGCTATGGGCCTTTCTAGATATTCTGAAGATGTGTTTGTTAATTTTTAAGTGAACCACAAGGCAAAATTAAAGCATGCAATTAGAAATAAGTATTTCAGAAATCCATAATATATTCAGCTTTTGAGATTTACACTGCTATCTTTATATGTATTAAGCAATAAATAAAAGATTGGAGAAGATTTTAGATGTATGACATATCAATTAGGTGATAAGCAAATCTCTAAAGATTTCATGGAGTTTTGATAAGCATTCAAGGTTTCTGGGACTTACTAGAATTCTATCTCAAACCAAATACATTTTTAGTAAAAAAAAAAATTCAGACAGAATATGCTATGAGACGAAGCTCTTAGATATAATTTGGCATAAGTGTTACTCATAGTTGGGATGACAAATGCTTTTCTTGTATTGGTAATCATTCATTTACTCATTAACTATTAAGTACGTTTAATGCAACTAGCCTAAGGCTCAGTCAACGAAGACAGATATATGAATAAGATATGTTCACTTCCTCTCCAATAACACACAGTCTCATAATGGATATGACATGTTAAAAGTAATTATACTTCTGAGAAGTAAGTGCCAATAGAGGATATGGATAGGATCAGACTTGGAGGATGGTAGCTTCTGCCAGAGGCAAGGGCATTGCCAGGAAATTTTCTTGAGAAGAAATGACATATTAGCAGAATTTTCAGTATAGTAAATCAATAAAAGAAATTTTATACAAATTTCAAACTCAACAACACTTCACTGTTTGCTAATGTTCTAAAAATAAACTCTTGAAAGTCCTACCTCTTATTTTTCCCAAATACTGCAGCTTAGCATTCTGAAAAACACCCTAAAAGCTGTTACGTTTGAGAGCTAAAGACAGAAACCACATGATTATCTCAATAGATGCAGAAAAAGCCTTCGATAAAATTCAACATCCCTTCATGTTAACAACTCTCAGTAAACTAGGTATCGAAGGAACTTACCTCAAAATATTAGTCATATATGACAAACCCACAGCCAGTATCATACTGAATGGGCAAAATCTAGATGCATTCTTCTTGAAAACCAGCACAAGACAAGGATGCTCTCTCTCATCACTCCTATTCAACATAGCATTGGAAGTTCTGAGCATTCTGGCCAGGGCAATCAGAAACAGAAAGAAATAAAGGGTATTCAAATAGGCAGGGAGAAAGTCTAATTATCTTTGTTTGCAGATGACATAATTTTATTTCTAGAAAACCCCATTGTCTCAGCCCAAAAGCTTTTTAAACTGATAACTTCAGCAAAGTCCCAGGATACAAAATCAATGTGCAAAGGTCACTAGCATTCCTATACACCAACAACAGGCAAGCAGAGAGCCAAATCATGAATGAACTCCCTTTCATAACTGCTGCAAAAGAATAAAATACCTAGGAATACAGCTAACAAGGAAAGTGAAGGATCTCTTTGAGAAGAACTGTAAACCACTGCTCAAGGAGATCAGAGAGGACACAAACAAGTGGAAAAACATTTCACGCTAATAGGAAGAATCAATATCATGAAAATGGCCATACTTCCCAAATTAGTTTATACATTGATTGCTATTCCCATTAAACTACTATTGACATTCTCCAAAGTAATAGAAAAGCTACCTTAAAATTCATATGAAACAAAAACAGAGCCCGAATAGCCAAGACCATCCTAAGCAAAAAGAACAAAGCTGGAGGCATCATGCTACTTGACTTCAAATTATACTACAAGGCTACGGCAACCAAAAAAGCATGGTACTGGTACAAAAACAGACACATCGACAATGGAACAGAATAGAGAGCTCAGAAATAAGACCACACACCTGCAGCCATCTAATCTTTGACAAGCGTGATAAAAACACGCAATGGAGAAAGGATTCCCTGTTCAATAAATGGTGCTGGCAGAACCGGCTAGCCATATACAGAAAATTGAAATGGGACCCATTCCTTACACCTTATACAAAAATTAACTCAAGATGGATTAAAGACATAAATGTAAAGCCAAAAACTGTAAAACCCTGGAAGACAACCTAGGCTACACCATTCAGTACATAAACATGGGCAAAAATTTTATGACAAAGACACCCAAAGCAATTGCAACAAAAGCAAAAATTGACAAATGGAATCTAATTAAGCTAAAGAGCCTCTGCACAGCAAACGAAACTATCATCAGTTTGAACACACAATCTACAGAATGAGAGAAAAATTTTGCAATCTCTGTCCATCTGACAAAGATCTAATATGCAAGATCTACAAGAAATGTAACAACTTTACAAGAAAAAAACACTAAAAATTGGTCAAAGGACATGAACAGACACTTCTCAAAAGAAGACGCTTATGCAGACAACAAGTGTATTAAAAAAGCTCAATATCACTGATCATCAGAAAAATGCAAATCAAAACCACAAAGAGATATCATCTCATGCCAGTCAGAATGAAAATTATTATGAAGTCAAGAAACAACAGATGCTGGCAAGGTTGCAGTGCAAAAGGAACACTTTTCCATTTTGGTGAGAGCGTAAATTAGTTCAACCATTGTGGAAGACAATGTGGCAATTCCTCAACTATCTAGAGGCAGAAATACCATTTGACCCAGCAATCCCATCAGTGGATATATACCCAAAAGAATATAAGTTATTCTATTATAAAGATACATGCACACATTTGTTCATTGCAGCTCTGTTCACAATGGCAAATACATGAAATCAACCCAAATGCCCATCGATGATAGACTGGATAAAGAAAATGTGGTACATACACACCATGAAATACTATGCAGCCATTAAAAAGAATAAGATCATATCCTTTGCAGGGACATGGACAGAGCTAGAAGCTGTTATCCTCAGCAAACTACTGCAGGAACAGAAAAAGCAAACACCACATGTTCTCATTTATAAGTGGGAGCTGAATGATGAGAACACATGGACACATGAGGGGAACAACACACATTGGGATCTCTCAGGGGTTGGGATGGGGGAGGAAGAGCCTCAGAAGAATAGCTGAGGGATGCTGGGCTTAATACCTAGGTGATGGGTTGATCTGTGCAGCAAGCCACCACGACACCTGTTTACCTACGTAACAAACCTGCACATCCAGCACATGTACTCCTGAACTTAAAATAAAAGTTGAAGAAAAAAAAGAAGCTGTAATGTTTGTTTTGATGAAATAAGCCAATCCTTGTATAACTTTCTATGGAAAAGTCATTGTTTTCTTCATATGTGAAGGATTCCTTTTGTTAATAATCAAAGACATTAAATTATGGAAATACTCATTCACTGTAAATAAAACTTCTGAGACAAGATGTATACTACACCAACAAGAGAGCGCCCTAGGAATTTCTGACCCTGAAATTTGCCTAGTGAGGAGCCTATAAGCAGGTTTTCACTTTCAGTGGAAAGAAGTCTTGTTCTAAATCCTTGAGGAATTGCCACACCGTCTTCCGCAATGGTTGAACTAATTTACATTTCCACCAACAGTGTAAAACCATTCCTATTTCTCCACAGCCTCGCCAGGATCTATTGTTTCTTGACTTTTTAATAATTGCCATTCTGACTGGCATGAGATAGTATCTCATTGTGGTTTTGATTTGCATTTCCCTAATGATCAGTGATATTGAGCTCTTTTTCAAATGTTTGTTGGCCGCATAAATGTCTTCTTTTGAGAAGTGTCTGTTCTTAACCTTTGCCCACTTTTTGATATTTTTTTGTTTTTTTTCTTGTAAATTTGTTTAAGTTTTTTGTAGACTCTGTATATTAGACCCTTGTCAGATGGGTAGATTGCAAAAATTTTCTCCCATTCTGTAGGATGCCTGTTCACTCTGATGATAGTTTCTTTTGCTGTGCAGAAACTCTTTAGTTTAATTAGATTCCATTTGTCAATTTTGGATTGTGTTGCAATTGCTTTTGGCATTTGCATCGTGAAGTCTTTGCTCATGCCTATGTCCTGAATGGTATTGCCTAGGTTTTCTTCTAGCGTTTTTATACAAATCTGCGTGTTCTGAACATGTATCCCGGAACTTAAAGTAAAATAAACAACAACAACAACAAAAATAGGTTATAGGTTACGTCCCCATGCTATTCAGACTTATTTAGCTTTCCAAATACCCCTTTCCTTTAAAAACTCATCTCTACTTCCTCAGCCTCAAGGCTTCCTTAGCCCATACGTTGTTTTCATCTCTTGAAGCTTGTTTCATCTCAACAGACTAATAGAATTTCCTCTGTATGTGCTCTCCTAACTGTATGCAATTTCTGTTTTCAATAAATTCAGCTAAACTGTCCCAGCTTATTGGCTGTAGGCATATTCAAAACAGCATTTAGCATAGCCACAAATGCAACTCAGATTTTATTCTACAGAATTATGCCTGTTAGTTTTATTTTTATTTCTCTAGAAAGGATGCTATAACAAATTTACATTAATCTGAAGAATTTCTTAAAGCTGTAGAGAATGAGTTTTAAAAAAACTTAACTTTTCAGCATATTAAAACGAAGAATAAACTGATTAACAGAGTCATGGAATTTGAGAATATGATAAGGCCAATATAATTCCTTCCAACCCCTTTATTTTACAAATGGAGAAACTGAGACTCAAAGAGTCCCATTACCTAAATGTTTATTCAGTGTAATTTAATACTTTAAACGTGGTAACTGTATGTTTATGGCATTAATTTCACACTTTATTCAAATATGTTTAGTTTTTATAATTCAAATGTTTATAATAGTGTTGGGAGTATTTTTATGGCAATTTTTTTGAAGTTTTTCAGTTATTGGCAAAATGCAAAAACAAGCAAACAAAAAAGCACCTTCTCCAAAAGCCTGATTTTAAAGAGCCAATACAACTTTTTCCTTATACTAAATGTTGCTGAGTATTTTCAATCTGTTTTACAGATGGATAGCTCATCAACAGCAACTCAATGGAGAAAAGAAATAAATAAGTTAAACGTTTAAAATCTGTAGATATATTAGACTTGATAATAAACATATCTCCTCTTTTACTCTTAACGTAAGAGTAAAAAAGGAGTAAAACAAAGAGTAAAGACTGTTTTCTTTTACCTCTTCCAAAAAGATTTGAAATAATTTACTAAGCGACATGGAGAAAGGCCACATAAGAGAGGAAATAAGCATTCCTCTCTTATAAATAAGCATTCTTCTTTAATAAGAAAATTAAAGAAGAAAAACAATACAAGGAAGTCAGGAATGAAGCACATTAATTAATTTATGTCTTAACACAACTTACTGCTTCAGTAAACAGCAAGAACTCTGACCTTTCATTTTTCCACTTTTCGTAACATTTACCCTATTTTCAGGTAAAAATCACATTAGGTTACAGTGCAATCAAACAATATTCTTTGAATTGAGCCTCCTGCTATTTTTATTTTTAATCAAGACTGAGGAAAAAAATGCTGACTCCCTTTAGCTGCATGTTCTGCAGGTTTGCTACTTTTTTAATGTGAAGAAATAAAAATTTTTCCCACTAAGTAGTAATAGTTATCCAGAGTAAATATTTACATTCTTCTCAGAGGCAGTCAACCAAGAGAACTATGAACAATAGTTTATCAGAAATATTAGCTAAATAAAAGAGTATTATCAATTTATTTAAAAAATGTAATTCACACTGCCTGTCTCAGCAAGACAACTCCAACATGAATACTTTCCATTTTTTAAATTACTAAAATTATATGTGTATATATAAAATGTCAAATATATGTATAGCATTCTATATATATTTAGTTAAATATGTATATATTTACAAACAGATGACAACCAAAAGAAAAATTGAACAAATGGTTATGTAATTTTCACTCTCTGGAAAACGATGAATACCAAAATTTAGCTACCACATATTACATTTTATCTTGGACTTTTCATATGTTATGAACATTTAAAGTCTATTCTCTAATTGATCTTTATATTTAGCTGTTAACATTAAACATTTCTAAAAATGGGTAATAAGCCAACATTTATTTTGGATTTTGTGAAAATTTTTCTTCCAATACCAAAGATTGATGCTTTTTATGCCAAATTTTATATTATTTCACATCAAATTAATATCAAACAGTTTGATATCACTTAGTCCTTATGATAGGGTATGCAGATGGGATGATCTAATTTTCTTTTCGACAGGAAAAGAATAAGCTTATGTTAGAAAGTGTGATTAAAATGTAACACTTGCTTGTTAGTGAGGCTGTGCAGAATAGATGAGAACTTGGAAAGTAGGTGCTAGGTGATAACCTATTATGCATATGCTCTCTAATTTGCCATGCTCAATCATTTTCAAATTGTGATCACCCAAAGTAAAAATGGAACAGCTGTCATTAGTATCTAGCAGTGTGGGAAAAAGAGAGAGAGAGAGAATACATTTGACCTCAGGATTGTGGAAAAGGATAAACTCTAAGCTCATCTTTCTGTAAGTTAGTTTTTTGTTTTTGTTTGTTTGTTTTGTTTTGTTTGTTTTTTGACAGTCTTGCTCTGTCGCCTAGGCTGGAGTGCAGTGGCACAATCTTGGCTCACTGCAATTTCTGCCTCCCAGATTCAAGCGATTCTTGTGCCTCAGCCCCCAAGTAGCTGGGATTACAGACGTGCACCACCATGCCTGGCTAATTTTTCTATTTTTAGTAGAGACAGGGTTTTACCATATTGGCCAGGCTGGTCTCGAACTCCTGGCTTCAAGTTATCTGCCTGCCTTGACCTCCCAAAGTGGTAAGTTAGATTTTTAAGACTGAAATATATCATTGACTAGTAAAAATTTTAATCTTAACGGCTGGGCACGGTGGCTCACGCCTGTAATCCCAGCACTTTGGGAGGCTGAGGAGGGTGGATCACGAGGTCGGGAGATCGAGACCATCCTGACTAACACAGTGAAACCCCATCTCTACTAAAAATACAAAAAAAAAAAAAAAATTAGCTGGGCGTGGTGGCAGGCGCCTGCAGTCCCAGCTACTCGGGAGGCTGAGGCAGGAGAATGGCATGAACCTGGGAGGCAGAGCTTGCAGTGAGCCGAGATCACGCCATTGCACTCCAGCCTGGGCGATAGAGTGAGACTCTGTCTCAAAAAATAAAATAAAATTTTTAAATCTTACCTATCACCGGGGATAGGTAAAAAAAAATCTTTAATTAATTAAAATGTAGAGGTAAACATAATTTTATCCAGAGAAACTAAGATACATAATGTTGAATGGATCTCTAATATTATCAAATAACTTTTTTAATGCTGTGAAATTGAAAAATAATACCATACATTTAATCTGTAATAAAGAAGACATGCTTCAGGAGAGAAATTGATTCTTTTATTTAAAATAAAATCAGCATTTATGTTATAATAAAAATACCAATTATTTTGGAAGGATTGCAGTGATAAAATATAATGTTATTAATTCAACACATATTTACCGACTTCTGTATTAGTTTTCTGTTGCTATTTAACAAATTACCACAATCACAGTGGCTTAAAATAATGCCATTAGCTCACAGTTCTCTAGATCAGAAGTCCAGGCAAAGTCTACCTGGATTCTCAGCTCAGGGTTTCAGAGGCTGAAATCAAAGTGTCAACCTGGCTGACTTCTCCGGCTCCAGGGAAGTATTTGGAAGATTCTTATCAAAATTGGTAGAATTCAGTTCCTTCCTGTTGTAGGATTAAGTTCTTCATTTCCTGGCTGGCTGTCACCCAAGGGTCTCTCTCAGCTCCTAGAAGCCGCTCCCATTCCTTGTCACATGGCCCCAACCATCTCCAAGCCAACAACAGACAGAGCCCCTCATGTCAAATCCCTCATGTTTTAAATTTCTCTGACTTCCTGTGTCTCTGACTTGTCATGTGATTAGATCAGGCCAACCCGGATCATCTTGACTAATTGCAAGTGATTTGTGACCTTAATTTACATCTGCAAAGTCCTTTCACATCAGTACTTAGATTATTCTTTGATTGAATAACTGGGATAAGATGTGTGTACATCAGGGGTTGGAAATTATAGGGGATATTATAGAATCCTACTAGTGCAAGCACCTACTATGCATTAATCTTTGTTTTATGAACTGAGGGCCTAAAGGTAAAGACAAAGATATAGCCCTCCTTCTGGGAAACTCAGAGACATTTGGTGAAAGAAGAAAGTTTAAAAATTCAAGAGTTAATTATATTATACATTACATTATAAATTATTTATAAATATGCTATTTCATAAATGATATTTTTATATTGGGAAGTGGTAAGTGTAACACAGAAAAATATAGCAGAAAACAGGGAGGAGTTCTAAGAGGGGGGCAAAATTTTAAGTGGGATTGTTAAGGAAACCCTATCTATCTGAGAAGGTGATACTTGAGTTAATTGAGCAAGCTATGCCAGATAATAGAAGAACATTCCAGAAAGAGAGAATGTAAATACAAAGTCTCTGAGGCAGAAGCATGTTTAGAATGCTCTTAGTGTTCTAAGAATAGCAGGTAGCACAGTAGGGCTGGCACAGAGTGAGTAAGGGCAAGAAGATAAGGAAGTGCATTCACAGAAGATACAGGGTGTATTAGTACATTTTCACACTGCTATAAAGACAGTACCTGAGACTGGATAATTTATAAAGAAGGGAGATTTAATTGACTCACAGTTCCACATGGCTGGGAAGGCCTCAGGAAACTTACAATCACGGCAGAAGGCAAAGGGGAAGCCAGGTATGTCTTACTTGGCAGTAAGCAAGAGAGAAGAACACAGAGGGGAACTGCCAAACACTTTTTAAAATCATCAGATCTTGTGAGAACTCATTCACTATCATGAGAGCACCCATGGGGGAAACTGCCCCCATAATCCAATCACCTCCCACCAGGCCCCTTCCTTGACCTATGAGGATTGCAATTCGAGATTTGGGTGGGGACACAAAACCAAACTGTATCAAAGGGATATGGAGGAGGTGGGGCAGCAGATTGAGTAAGACCTCACAACACCTTGAAAGGACTTTGGCTTTTCTTCTAAGTAAAAAGAAAAACTGTTGTAGGGTGTGAATGAAGGTGTCACAAGATATGATTAAGGATCATTCTGCTTGGTCAAAGATAGACTTCAGGGGTAAATAAGGGAGGCTGGTTTGGAGGCTACTGTAATAATTAAGGTGAAGGACAATGGTGAGTCAGAACACAATGGTAACTATGAATGTGATAAGAAGT
Source organism: Homo sapiens (assembly GCF_000001405.40). Classification (NCBI taxonomy): domain Eukaryota; kingdom Metazoa; phylum Chordata; class Mammalia; order Primates; family Hominidae; genus Homo; species Homo sapiens. The sequence goes on along the minus strand of NC_000005.10, from coordinate 84,548,568 downwards.
AGTTACATTATGGATATATTTATAATGAAAACCCAGTAAAGCTTTGACTTGAAGGAATGTGGGGTGTAAGAGGAAAATGGAAATTAAGAATGATTTCAAAGGTTGTGACCTAAGCAACTGGAAGGATGAAGTAACCAATTAGCGAAAGGAAACATAATATATATGGAGCAGATGTGACATGGAGAGAAAGCAGGACTTCAATTTTGGATATACTTATGAGATATTTAAGAGGATAGGTAGACAGTTACATATATGAGCCTGAAGGTATCTATGAGTTGTAGATGTAATCGTCTTGTCTGGTCTGTATCTCTGGTCAGCAAATTAATGGTATTTAAAGCCATGAGACTAGATGAGATAACCAAGGAAATGAATTTATAAAGTAAAAGATAAAAGATTGAGAACTGGACATTGTGGTACCAATAATCAGAGTCTGGGAATATGAGCAAAACATAGCAAAGGATTCTGAGAAGTAATGCTCAGTAAGGCAGGAATAAAATCATGAGAATATGATATCATATGTGCAAGTAAAATATATTTCAAATGAGAGAACGTGTTATGCTCTGCCAAATGCTGTTGATAGGTTGTTTTAGCCCATTTGTGCTACTATAAATAAAACAAAAATATCAGACTGGATAATTTATGAATAACAGAAATTTATTTTCTCATAGTTCCAGAGGCTAAGACCAAGGTCAAGGGACCAGCAATCAGTGTCTGATGGGAGCCTTCTTGCTGTGTCCTCACCTGCAGAAGAGTGAATGGTAAAAAACGGCCTAAGTTGCTGGGCGCCATGGCTCATGCCTGTAATCCCAGCACTTTGGGAGGCCAAGGTGGGCAGATCATCTGAGATCAGGAGTTTGAGACCAGCCTGGCCAACATGGTGAAACCCCATCTCTACAAAAAAAGGTAGCTGGGCATGGTGGCAGGCGCCTGTAATCCCAGCTACTCAGTAGGCAGAGGCAGGAGAATTGCTTGGACCCGGGAGACTGGTTGCAGTGAACCCAGATCACACCACTGCATTCCAGCCTGGGTGACAAGAGTGAGACTCTGTCTCAATAATAATAATAATAATAATAATAATAATAATAATACAAAAATAAAAAAAGGCCTAAGCTAGTTCCCTCCAGCTTTTTTATAGGGCAGTAATCCATGAGGAGCCCTCATGACTTAATCACTTCTTAAAAGGCTCCACCTCTTAATACCCCATGCTAGGGATTAAGTTTCAACATGAGTTTTGGAGGGGACACATTTAAATCATAGCACAGGTCAAGTAAGATAAGAACTGAAATTGACCACTGGATTTCAATGTAGAGAACAATGTTTCCCTTAGCAACGATTTCATTTTGATTGGGGTAAATTTAAGTGAGCAAAGAAGAAAAGAAATTGAAGGCAGAGGAATTTGGAGACAACTTTTTAAAGAAATTTTACTGTAAAGGAGTTACAAAGAGTATTAAAGGGCATATAAAGCAGTGAGGTCAAAATAAGTTGTTTTTATTTTATTGTTTTCTAAATTTCCTCAGCGGCCGCCTCCTCCAAAATAAGTTGTTTTTAAATGAGAAAAATAACAGCATGTTTGTCTGCTAATGGGAATGATCTTCCACAGTGTGAAGAGGGCAGAAAAGCTGAAATAATATCCTTGATTAGGCTGGAGGGAACAGGATCTTATGCACAAGTGAAGGAGTTGACCTTGGTGTGGCATGGAGAGTCCATCCATCATAACAGGAGTGAAGGCAGAAAACATCCCATTACAGATGCTGGTAATTGGGTAGATGTACTAGGTGCTTGTGGGTGTTTGATTCCGATTGCTTCTATTTTCTCACTTAAGTCAGATTATCAATTAATGTGCTGAAGATAAGAAAAGCCTAGTGGACTAGAAAGAACACCCCTGAAATAATTAGAAGGACTGGATTCTCACTTGGCTGCCCTTGAACAACCCTACAGTTACTTTGAACAGTCAGGTATAGCCTCTATGCTTCCATTCTGCTATCTGCAAAAGGTAAGGATTCAAATAATTGCCTTCACATCTCTTCCGGTGTTGAAATGTTAATATTTTAAATAATAACACCATTTTTACTGGTATATTTGGTTTTCATTTTTAACTACAAGAAGTTAATCTAGTACTGTACATTTATATTAAGTTAAAGAACAAACAATAAGGAAATGTGCCAGACTCTATCATTCCAGTTGAAACATATCTCCCTAATTAGGAAGCTGAGTATTTGTATTGAAAATTGGCAGGGCAAGATTTATTTATTTATTTATTCATTTTTAATTATTATTATTATTTTTTGAGACGGAGCCTCACCCTGTCGCCAGGCTGGAGTACAGTGGAGCGATCTCGGCTCACTGCACCCTCTACCTCCCAGGTTCAAGCGATTCTCCTGCCTCAGCCACCCGAGTTGCTGGGACTATAGGCACATACCACCACACCTGGCTAATTTTTGCATTCTTAGTAGAGACGGGGTTTCACCATGTTGGCCAGGCTGGTCTCGAACTCCTGACCTCAGATGACTCACCTGCCTGGGCCTCCAAAAGTGCTGGGATTACAGGCATGAGCCACTGCACCTGGCCAAGATTTATTTTTAATACAAGGGCTATACAGGTCAATTCCCCTCACAGCAAATGCCATAGAGTCTTAGATTACCTACAGATGACTTGCTTATCTAAAACTTTAAAAAAAAAATAGACATAGAAAAGACCTTAGAGATGATAATCCAAGGCCATCACTTCTCAGTAGAGAAAACTGAGGCCTAGCAAAAATGAATTAACTTATTCCAAGGGTTTAACTATACAGCCACTTAGAGAGATTAGATGCCAGGTCTCCTGGCTGCCAAACAAGTGTTTGTACATTATGCCAGGTAATAGACCTTATTTGTCAAAATAATTATTCATCTTTCTTCCTGGGTTTGGACTATGCTTGCTTACTGTTTAGAGCCAGAATGAAATTTTTGGTAAATACCTTTCAATTTTTGCCAATAAATAGTGCATCAGTTATTTCACCCATTCAAAAAATCAACAAGTATTTACTGAACATTCACTATTTTCTATGACTAGTCAGCTCCTATTTTAAAATTGGAGATACAGAAAAAAAAAGAAAAAAAGAAACTCAATAGATGATATCAGTGCTCTCCTGGCGTGTAATTCTAAATAAATAAATTTATTCTCATCCCAGGGATAGGGATAGATAATCTCACAAAAAAACTTTCTTTCATTTTTTTTTCATACATTCCAAGACATGGAGCACTAGGATCAGTTCTGGCAATAACGAGACATAAAATGTGGTCCCTTCTCACAAATAGCTGATAGCACATTGAAGCATAAAGAAATAGAGAATGATAGCTGCACTTGACATTGATAAATGCTGGGAGAGGAGTGCGCACAAAGGGGAGACCTGAATTAAGACTAAAAAGTCAAACTCAGGTTCCTGATATAGCAGATGTCTGTATCCAACAGGATTAAAAAATGCATGAAGAAATTAACATGTTAAGGGCAGGAAATTAAACAGCTTTTCAAGTCAAGTGTAAAAGCCAAGAAGTAAAAGAGTAAAGATCATAATGTAGGAAATACAAGACATTCTGCAAAAGAAGCAACCATACAAAGAGAAAGATGAGATTGGTATGAGATAAGGTTAGAGATGGACCTGTAAAGATAGCAGAAAGTAATTCTGTCTATTGGATTTTCACTATGTGCCAGGAATTGTGCTTAGCACTTTTTCTTCATAATAATCCTATAATTCAACTTAATCAATTATATTAGCCCCATTTAACAAGTTAGAAAAATGAAATTCAGAAAGTAAGCAACAACCTGTAATATAGTGTGCATAAGAAGTGGAGTCAAATGACGTTCTTCCTCAATTCAAAAGCAGAGTTTTTAATTGTGGACTGAAAACGTTGAAAATCATATTTAAAAAATTTTCTGTTTTTGTTTTTGCTTATTTGCTTTTACTTGCTTATACTTTTTAACTGATGGCAAAGGAGAGTCTTTAAATGGTTTTTAGGGAGGGTTTGAGATGATACAAGTAAATTTTATATATTTGGATTTTTAAATATTCTGGCTATAAAACATACTTAGAAAAAAAGTGTATATATATGGGAGAAGGCAATATTAGAAGCAGAGACACACATTTTAAGGCCCTTTTAGAAGGCTCTAAAGATAATGAGTGTCTAAGTTAAAGTAATATAACAAGGTATGAACAGAATTAGATACATTCAAGAAATGCTAAAAATGCTGAATTAACAGTACTTTGCAATTGGGTGTGGAGAGTGATAGACTAGGATAGGTGTACCAGCATGAACATTGGGAATACAACATTGCAAGTGTGTTGAGCTGACTTGTGTGCCCCCAAAAGATATGTTCAAGCCCTAATCTCTGAAATTTGTGAATGTATCCTTATTCAGAAATAGGGTCTTTGCAGATGTAAGCAAGTAAAGAAGATGTCATACTGCATTAGGGTGGACGCTACATCCATTAGCTGGTAACTTTGAAGAATAAGAGGGTACTTACAAAGACACACACAGAGGAAAGTGTGAAGATGGGGACAGAGATTGGGATGATGCAGCTACAAGCCAAAAAATAGCAAGGATTGCTGGCAACCACTAGAAACTAGGAGAGAGGCCTGAAATAGATTCACCCTCAGAGCCTCCAGAAGGAACCAACCCTGACAATACCTTGATTTCAACCTCCAGAACTATTACAGAATAATTGTCTTTTGGTTTCAGCCACCAATTTGTGGTAACTTATTATAATAGACAGAGGAAACCAATACAATTAACAATGTGATAAGTGGGGGAAGAAGGTACTATTGATTCAGATTGTTTCCATAACTACAATTCAGTTTGGCTAATTTTGAGGTCATTGTAGAGAAATTTAGAAGGAATTGGAAACATAAAAGTTGAAGATTCAAAAAGAGATCTGAGCTGAATATATTAAAAAAATTATTCCTAAAACTTTCTTTTATTGACTAAATGATTAACCCTTTTATTTCATTGTTCTCAGATTAAATATTTCATCAGAGGTCCTTACCTGATCATCCAATCTAAAGTTGCTCTTAGATTACACCTATATATTACATATTTTTACTCACTTTATAGTTTTATCACCCTATATTTTTCTCCTTTCCTTTTTACATTCTTTTTCCTTCTCATTAGAAAAGTCTAGGTCATGGGAACATTAGAATGAAATTTTGTTTGGCCTGGGAAGCCATTACTTCACTATGTTCTTTAGGAGTTCCTAGAGGACACAGCCTTCTCTGAGGAAATGAGAAACACACTAGTGATGGTGGTGCCAGCATCTAGATGCTCAGTAGAATCTGTCCTTTGGAGGATGGCAGTGATGCAGGGCTGCTGCCATCAAATATCAGAGGCTAATGGTAAAGCAGAGTGGGAGAGACTAGATGGAAATGCATTAACTATAAACCAGAAGATCAGTGTAATTCCAATGTAATTCCATCCATGGGAGATAAGATTAATGTGACAATTAGAGCATGTCAACCTGCAAGTGTGTATAGCAATGGGTCAAGTTGTGCTGAGGGGTGAGATAGATGGAGAGTCACATAGTGTGTTACTGCATTTACACAGTCAGAAGAAATCACGACCAAGCAGAAGGCTGATGCCAGCTGTTGCAATGAAACCATTGCATCCCTTCACCCAGTTGCCACATCTAAACCAGTTCTCAGTCTCATATGGGATCCCCTCACCAGCATGTGTGTGTGCGCACACACGCACACACACACACATTGAGGATGTGGATGGACAAGAATAAAATAAGAAGAATTCAGAAAAGGGATAAAAATTAAGATAAAAGAAAAAGGAAAAGATTAATGAAAGAGGAGGGACACCAACTATGTACTAATGTTTACATAGGAATTTCGCAGAAGTGAAGAACTGAAGACTATGTGTTAAGCTTTGAAGGAACATTTTAACATAGCATTTCTATAAAAAAAAATCAAGGAGCCACATTCCTTGAACAGGTTTTACGGTGCGGACTATTCTTAAAGAAACTGACTAAGCTCACATATTTGAAATTAGTCAATGTTGTTAAGAAATTTTTTAAATTAAAAAGTGTAACCTGATATGGTAGATTAAAGCTGGCCACAAATACTTTTCCTTCTCCTATTGAGAGGTAGAGACTAATTAATTTATCTTTGAGTTGGAACGGCTACTGATCTTCCTGGCCAATACAGTACAATAGAAATTGTGTATGGGAATTCTCAGGCTAAGTCATAAGGAGTACTGTGGCATCACTTCAGGCCTCTTGGAATGCTCACTCTCAGGATCCACTTAGGGTGCTCCCTCCTGGAATTCAGCTGCCATACTGTGAAATGCACAAGCCAGGTGGAGATGGTCCAGCCCATAGCTGTAGCTGAGTTCCCAGCCAATAGCCAGTATCAATGATCAGCCATGTTTGTTAGCTTTCATAGAGTTCAGTCCAGTCAATACTTTGGAAATACAGCCCAACCCAAGGATGCTAAGAAAGGGGAAGGCTCTTACTCTATTAGGAGGAATGTAAAGTAGTACAACCACTATGGAAAATAGTATGAAGATTCTTCAAAAAACTAAAAATAGAACTACTATATGATATAGCAATCCCACTGCTAGGTATATATCCAAAAGAAAGAAAATCAGTGTATCACAGAGATAGCTGCTCTCCCATATTTATTGGAGACTATTCACAATAACCAAGATTTAGGATCAATCTAAGGGTCTATCAAGGATGAATGGATAAAGAAAATGTGGTACATATACACAATGGAATACTATTTAGCCAGGAAAAAAGATGAGATCCTGTCATTGGCAACCATGTGGATGGAACTGGAAAAATTATGTTAAGTAAATAAGTCAGGCTCAGAAAGACAAATATTGCATGATCTCACTCATATATAGGAGCAAAACAAAATTGATTTCATAAAGGGAGAGAATAGAATGATGGTTACCAGAGGCTGAGAAGTATAGTGAAGAGGTATGTTAGACTGTTCTCACATTGCAATAAAGAACTACCTGAGACTGGATAATTTATAAAGAAAAGAGGTTTTTGGCTCAAGATTCTGCAGATTATAGAGGAAGCATGCCTGTGGAGGCCTCAGGAAACTTACAATGATGTCAGAAGGTGAAGGAGAGGAAAGCACATGGCCAGCAGGAGATAGAGAGTGTAAAAGGGGAAATGCTACACACTTTCAAACAACCAGATCTCTAGAGAACTCACTACCACGAGAACAGCAAAGGGGAAATCTGCCCGCATGATACAATCACCTCCCACCAGGTCCCTCCCCCAACACTGGGGATTACAATTCAACATGAGGTTTGGGTGGAGACACAGAGCCAAACCATATCAGGAGGGGATATAAAGAGAGGTTGGTTAATGGGTAAAAAAAAAAATACAATTAAATAGAAAAAATAAGATCTAGTGTTTGGAGTTACAACAGAGCGGCTGTAGTTAACAATAATATATTGTATATTTCAAAATAACTACGGGAGAGGAATTAGAATTCTTCTAACACAAAGAAATGATAAATGTCTGAGGTGATTAATATCTAAATTACCCTGATTTGATCATTACACTTTGTATGCATGTATCAAAATATCACATGTGCCCCATAAACATGTACAATTGTTATGTAGTCATAAAAATAAAAATATATATATTTTTAAAAATTAAGTTCAGCCAATCTGAATGTAATCTCATGAAAAAAACCACAAGAAAGATCCACCAAGTGAGCTAATTTGATGCAGCAAGTCATGAGAGAGAATATTTGTAAGCCATTGTGTTAGTTTTCTGGAACTGCTACAGAAAGTTACCACAAACTGAGTGGCTTTTTTTTTTCTTCTTCTTTAACATATGATAGATACATGTATAGCAAAAATATGTTTAGCATTTGTTGCTTGACCAGAGAAGATGCTAGCTTCTGGTGAAGCCTAATTTTTACACACTACTGCTGGAAGGACAGGTGTCTTTCTTACAGACCAACAACTGGTAATTCATTCAAATGAAGGCTGGGTCTCAGAGTAATAATTAGAGTGGCTATATATATTGACTATGGGGGTCATTATAAGGATAATTTGGTTCCTGTTTGCCTCCTGAATCTTCACATAATGCTCTTCACCATTGTCTTTTGATAGATTCAACCACCAAGCATTCATTTGCAAAGTGACTCTCTTTCTCTCTCAGCAACTTACTTGGGTCAGCCCCAATGACCTGATAATGCTTTTTGCTCTTCAACCTTCTGTTCCATCTTCTAACATCTTACAGATCTTTAGAAAATACTTGCCAATGGGACATTTTCTTTCTTTTCCTCTTTTGTAAACCCCTTCTCTCCAATCAAAAATTCGTGCCCATGTTTTGTCAAAATATATTTTGATGGCTATTGTTTCCATAGACTAAACAAACCACAAAATTTAGCTTTCCCTCCCTCTCTCCCTCCCTTCCTCCCTCCCTCCTTTCTTTCCTTCCTGTTAGAAATGCTTGCTCTTTGATGCCGTAAATATATAGCACTTGAATATAAATTTAATTTTCTCAACAAGGCCATTTTTTTACTTTCTGCAGAAAGGGTACACTCACCAGCAGTTTTGCCATGAGAGTACACTGAACAAAGGAGACAGGGTCATTTATAACTTGACGTGTCTACCTTACTGCTGTGTCCGGTTTCTATTGGCTGGAATGAGACCTCACATTCTGTATTTGTCCTGATTGGCTAGCAACTTAGAACTTTTTAAAAGAGGCAAAGGCAGAGGAGAACAAAGGAAGGAGGAAGTAACTTGTGGAATGCTGAGAAAGGTAAAAAGACCTTCAAATAAGGAAGAGGAACAGGCTATGACCTAATGCTTGCTTGGACTAGTATAAGCATGCTAGGGCAAATATTTAGGCTAAATTGTGGGAGGTAAGAACATAAAGTACATTGATTTCTTTATTACAGCTAGCAGATATTTAAGAATATTAGCACAAGTCTTTGAATAAATTTTGCTTCTAAGAGAAGTTACTATTTATTCCTAATTAGATGGGGAGGAAAGTCTTTGAAGAGGAACCTCAACTTTACTTTTTACATTTCCTTTCTCTTTCTCTTTCTCTTTCTCTCCTTTCCTTTCTTTTCTTTTCTCTTCTCTTCTCTTCTCTTCTCTTCTCTTTTCTTTTCTTTTCTTCTTTTCTTTTCTTTTCTTTTCTTTTCTTTTCTTTTCTTTTCTTTTCTTTTCTTTTCTTTTCTTTTCTTTTCTTTTCTTTTCTTTTCTTTACAGCTCTGTCAACCAGGCTGGACTGCAGTGGAGCAATCAATCATAGCTAGCTGCAGCCTCAAACTCCTGGGCTTAAGCAATCCTCCCATTTCAGCCTCCTGAGTAGCTAGGACGACAGATACGTGTCACTACCATGACCAGCTACTTTTTTGTTGTTGTTGTTTTTGTTTTTGTAGAGATGGAGTCTCACTACATTGATCAGGCTGATCAGGAATTCCTGGCCTCAAGCCGTTCTCCCACCTTGGCCTCCCAAACCACTAGGATTACAGGCATGAGCCACCATAACTGGTCCTAGCTTCTATTTTCTTTTCTTTTCTTTTCTTTTTTTTTGGACAGAGTCTCGCTCTGTCTCCCAGGCTGGAATGCAGTGGCATGATCTCGGGTCACTGCAACTCCACCTCCCGGGTTCAAGTAATTCTCCTGCCTCAGCCTCCTGAGTAGCTAGGATTACAGGCGTGTGCCACCACACCCAGCTAATTTTTGTAGTTTTAGTAGAGACGGTGTTTCACCATGTTGGCCGGGCTGGTCTCGAACTCCTAACCTCAGGTGATCCACCTACCTTGGCCTCCCAAAGTGCTGGGATTACAGGCATGAGCCACCACACCAGCTGCTTCTATTTTCTTAAAGGCAGATAGTACCTAATATTACAATTCTTCTGAAGCATCTGAAACAGAAAAAAAAAAGACATGTCTATATTAAAACATTCTACATGTTAACATTTTGTTACAAATATATTTAGATAAATAACTATAAATTACAATTCTATATTCTTTTGTATAAAGAAATAAGATAAACCCACCTAACAGTATAGGACCATGAAATCCATATAGCTTCCTACTATATAGAAAAAGAGGAATTAACAGGAGCTTACATCTATACAATAATCTCCTTAGTTTATAAATCTGCAAATAAATTGAAGACAATGAATAAGTAAAGTGTAAACATTATAGCTTTTCAGTTTTAGGTGCTTAAATAAAGTTAGAAAAGCCAAGAGTTTTTAAGTGGAAAAACATTTCTCTTCTCATTCATATGAATGGAGGCTCTTAACCCCAGAGAAAGCAAAAATAAAGGCTGAAATCTTCCCCTCCACTTACTTGCAAAGCCATGCTTCCCTGACTGGTTTTTGTTATTTCCTCTGATATTTCTGAATTTTCATTTACAGGCAAAACTCTTTTTGTTTTTCAAGAATGATTCCATAACTAAAAAATAAATAAATATTTATTTCATTCCTGTTCAGTTGCTATTTTGAATTGTTTTACTTATTGGTAAAATATTTAATAAACAAAAGAGAGTTCAATTACAGGCATCTGACCATATTTGGGATGAAAAGAGCAACCTTCTAACCATTTCTACTAAGAAACAGCACTACAATAATGAACTCAAAATTCAAGTATATTACATATGAGTGGAGTTTCAATCTGTCCAACACTTTGCTGAAAGATCAAGCAAATCAAGTTAGTCTTATATAAGAATATATCTGTTCAGTGTTTATAAAGTCTATTCAAGCCCAAATCCAGCAATGACAAAATCAAACGTTAAGTTAAAATGAAATCAATTTCAATACAACCTTCTCTAAGAATAAAATCTTTTCAATCCTCAAGACAATTTGACCTCAAGTGGAGGGAACTTTAGGTGAGTACTATAAATTAGTACCAGGAAGAATGACTGTCAGGGGAAACTAAAGGTAAGGAAAGAGAGCAATAAAACTCCTTGTTAGAATTCACTGCCACAACATCTTTAGACCTTACATTTCCACTCTTGTTAAATATCCTACATCAGAAAGTCTTGTAAGAACAACTCAGCTTTAGATATGATAGTGGAAGGCTGAGCAAGCGTCAGTTAAATCACAAGACACTTTGGCATTTTGCTCAGTTGAAAATTGAAGGGAGAGTTCAAGTTTTCTTGGCTTCTGCATTAATCTAAACTAGAAATGGATTGATTTCACACTTTGAAAATGATTTTTAGAAAAAGACAAGGGAATATTGTAAAAACAATATAAACCTGTGTCAGCCTTTTCCTCTAGCATTATAAAAGGGAGACACCTTGCATCTGAAGTTGAGTATTTCTAACTGGCTATCAAATCCTGCATGTATAAGGGCTCTACAAGAAACGCTAAAAGGCAATTGGAATTAATAGGATTCTAGCAATGAACTCCTGTCTCACAGCCCTTGTATATGGGGTACATAAACTGTACTAATATTTTGAAATCAATGCACCTCTCATGAAGGCCAAAAGCGTTGCTGCATCTGGGGCTTCTTTATTTACTTGTCTAGTATGGCTCTAAGGTTGGGATATAGCCACTGGTATTAACAAATCCCTACCAAAAAGTTTTAAGCCTGAAGCTACTACTAATTAGTCACGTGATTTGGTCCAGTTACTTTAGCCCAGTATACTTCAGTTTCCTCATCAGTAACATGAAAGACAAATTTTAGATAATATTCACGTAGGAATCTTTTTAAAACTTGATCAGTAAATATTCACTATTCAACATCATCAAAGCACTATACTTTTAAAATGCTATATTGTTGATATAAGCCCACATTCAAGGACATTAATTAAGTTGTCTTAAGAGTAGTCCTTATTCAATATCCTGTCTATATACCTATTATTAGATTTCTATATTTGCTTTATAGAATATGCCAAATTCTATGAAACCGTCTCCACAACTATCACAACCAATGACTCATGAACTGCTATCATCAGAGTCTATGTTAGTTCCAAACAAAATTGAAATCCCATATGAAGTTTTCTGTTTGAAGCTGCATGAGTTTCAATTGCAAGATCTTGCTGCTGCTTCCTCACATCTGCTAACCACTTAACATTGGATCTGCCATCCATCTTGTTTGGCCCTCTGACATCTTCAGTTATCATCATTTTTAAGTGTTCTATTCTTGCGTGTTTAATCATCCACACATTTATTTTGTTTTTCGCACACAGTGAACTTATTTTGGGACTTCTGTTCTGAATCGAATCCTTCCATTATTCTAGTGTGATACCCTTGAATTTCCCACAGTGTCCAAGAACACTTTGAGTGTAGGAGTTACATAAACGAAAATCACTTTATATTTCTGCATTACTGTTTCCCTTACAAAAACCTGGGGGGTATCCAGTCCTGGAAACATAGTTCAGTGTCAGAATCATTTTGTAAATTTCTGGTTCAACACCAATGCTTGTAAGTTTCTGTTACTCATTAGCTCATAATGTCCAATAGTATTACTAACTATTAATAAATCTTAAATTTAACTATAAATAACAAGTACACCTTCACAGCTTAACATAAGAGTACAAACAATATATTTAGATTGTTTAGGTAGGCAAATGCCCTGTATTACTATAAGGTTTCTGATAGTCTCCCATTAGAATACCTAATCTTAAGCTGATTTCCTAATGCAGTACTCTATACTCCAAATTCTTTCGTTTTCTTTTTCCATTTCAATAAAACCTACTTCCTTATAATTCAATAAAGTAGACAATCTAGTCCTCAAGTTGCTCTTCACTTTAATAACCTGTTTTTAAAAGAGCTTTATTAAGGAACAAATAACATGCAATAAACTTCAACTATTTAAAATATACCATATTATAGATTTCAACATATGTATATACCTGTAAAATCATCAAATTAATGAGCAAATCAAGATAATAAACATGTTTATAACTCACCAAAATCTCTTTAATCCTCTTTGAAATCTCTTCCTCCTCTACCTCTTCCCTCACCTCCAGGCAACCACTGACCTGCTTTTTGTTATTGTGGACTAGTTTGCATTTTTTAGATGTTTATAGAAAGTATATACTCTTTTTTTCTTTTTTTGGTCTGACTTCTCTTGTTTACTCAGCAAGATATTTTGAGTGCGATTCATGTTATTGCATGCACAGTCCATTTAAAGCGATTTCTTACACATAAATTGTAAGAACTGTTGTAAGCTGAATTGTTGTAAGTTGGCCCTGTGTTTCCAATCACCCTGGACTAGTGATTATCCACTCATGCCTGAGAATCAGAGCTAATTTATCTCAATGCTCTCCTTTGGGGTATTTGAAGTTGAAGCACAAAAAGAGCTGCACTATTGGCCGGGTGCGGTGGCTCAGGTTTGTAATCCCGGTACTTGGGACGCCGAGGCAGGCAGATAACGATGTCAGGAGTTCAAGACCAGCCTGGCCAACAAAGTGAAACCCTGTCTCTACTAAAAATACAAAAATTAGCTGGGCATGGTGGTGGGCGCCTGTAATCCCAGCTACCCGGGAGACTGAGGCAGGAGAATTGCTTAAACCTGGGAGGCGGAGGTTGCAGTGAGCCAAGATAGTGCCACTGCACGCCAGCCTGGGAAACAGAGCTAGAATCCGTCTCAAAAAACAAACAAAGAAACAAAAAAACGATGTACAGGGATTACAGGCAGGCACCACCATGCCCAGCTAATTTCTGTATTTTTAGTTGAGGCAGGGTTTCACCATGTTGGCCAGGCTGGTCTCGAACTCCTGACCTCAGGTGGCCTCCCAAAGTGCTGGGATTACAGGCGTGAGCCAATGCACCTGGCTCTGAGAGTCTTTTATTTCAAGGAAATAAGTTGATGAAGGAAATTTCTTAATAAAATAATTCAAGTTATTAAAGATAAAATTAATGGTTAAATTAGAAATATCATTTTTATCCCTTAATGAAATAATTACCTATGTAATGATTATTAAAAATTAAACTCAACAGTGAAATGTTGATAGGGAGTTTTGTAATGGGTAAGCTAAGGCTGTCACCATCTGAATCCACTGATTAGTATTTGTATCCTTAATGAGGCAACTCCACGTAATGTACTTCATGCTAGGATGCAATACGAAATACATAGACTCACCTATAAATATTCATCCTTTAAAAATTAAACTTAAAAGTAGTCAAGCTTCAAGACCATGTAAGCACAAAAACACAAAGGATATGGAGTAAAAAAAATAACACTATGAGGGCATTAAAAAAAATTCAGAATGTGTAATATCCTATAGAATTCTACAACAAATGACTGAATTTATTTAATAAATCAATGACATTGAAGAGTGTGGAGAGAATGTTCTAAAATAAAAGAGATTAGCCATACCCATACAAATGAGTGGAACTTTCAAGGTCCTTATTTGGGCAAACCAACAGTAAAAAGATTCATGAGAAGAAAGAAAATAATTATTGTTAATTGTATTTGGTGTAACAATAGCATAGTGATATATGTATATAAACAAAATTGTGGGGATTATGTCCTTCTTTAGTTAAAGATGCACACTGAAATACTTATAAGGGAAATGATACAATGTTGGGATTTAACTTTTAAATTCCCTTGAAACAAACAAATAGAGGCCTTAAATAAAGATTAGCAAAATAATAAATATTGAAGTTGCATAGTAGAAATATGTGTCTTTATTATATTCTTACTTATTTTGTGTATGTTTGAAATTTTTATAACAAAATGTAAAACCAAATGACTATATTCTCTATGACTATCTTTTATTCCCTGGATTGAGCTGAGTACTAGGTGAACTCTTAACCCCCTGGGAACCAGGCATTCCTCTTCTTGCCTATGTCTTTCTCTTACTGAAATATATGATCCCTTCACTACCTAAGTCACATTTTTCTGGTGCTGATTTCTAATAAACTCTTTAATATCCTTTTATTATCTTTTTTTGCCATAGATTCAACTATAGATGTGACTTCTATGATTCCAATTCTGTCTGTTTTCTTAGTGCAATCAAAGCAACAGTTCTTATTTACAAACTAATAGCAATTAAACTCTACTTTTACCTTAGTTTTTTGACATTGGTTGCATGTATTAAAAATTTAATGAAATATGTGTAGATTGATTAATATTGATTATCAATGCATTAAATGTCAGAATGAATAAACTGATTAATTATAAAATAATAAAATGATTAAATGTTACAGTGTATAGGGAACACAACCATATAATACAATAAACACAATTTAAGTAAATTTCATAAATGTCAAACACCAGGTTCTATTTTATGATGCCATAAGAAGAAATTGCTGACAAGTATCTGGGGTCATACAAATCAGACAACAGTAATGTATGACTATCATTAACTAAATAGAATATAATGTATTAATTGTAAGCTACATGAATTCTTAAGCTCTTTATATGCAACTAATTAAAGATTTTTACTGTAATTTTCATACGCAAAGTTATTTAAAGACTCTTTGAAATTTTATTTCAAGTCCAGTTGATGAATGGCTATGTAACTGAGGCGTTTACTATTTTGTTTAGGTTAAGCCATTTTCATCCAAAACACTTTCACCTGTTTAGTATGTCAATAAGACACATGCCTTTGTCTACTGTAGAAAGTCAGGATGGATGTTTGTTTTATGTCTTGATATAAAATGCCATTAAATCTTTAGAAGATGCTCTGCTAAATCAGTAGCTACTTTGTTATTTAAATGACTGTGTGGATGAATACATCTCTTTAATGTATTTGAAAATATTACCATTCCTTTTCTGAAAATAGTTCTTATTATGATGACTTTCATTTTCACAAAGCTATTTATTTCATTAGAAAAGTAAAGGCAAATCAAATGAATTAAAGAAATATCAAGTTCCCTATGCTGGCACACTGACAATATTGAATAATGTTCAAAGACTCTTTTTAGTGACAAGAGAAATATCCTTTTCAAGGTTAGAAATACCTTTGAAAAGTACAATAATGTTTTTATTTGTTCTATTAAAAATGGAAAATGCTTTTGAGAGGAATAAATATTTCTAATAAATGGATAGAACAGAGAGAATTTTTAGGAGTACTTTAGGAGTTACACTGGCATGGTTGTGTTAGGGAAGTCTGATGCATGTTTTTTTTCTAGAGGCACAAAATAACATAACTCGTTCATACACTAAAACATAATCAAATCATAGTACATTCATATCATGGAGAAACTTTAAGTAGTCTTCTGGGAAGAGCTATGAGAAATAGCCCTGCTTGAAAAGTTAATGAGTCCAGGAGAATTAAAAAATACTGATATAACATTAGAATTATCAGGTGCTGCATTGGTATTCAGAAATGTTTCGATCATTATGTATTTTTAAATAAATTATTATTTACAGGTGATCCAAAATCCATGTCTTAGCTTTGTTGTAATATTTGCAATTAACCAAAAAATAGTATCTGAGATTTACTATTATGAATTCAAACCTCGTAGAATTAATCTAGTCTGGGAAACTCTTTCTGAAATATAATTTCCATATCAAATATGTTTCAATTAATTTATAGCCTCTCCTGAGTTTTTAGAAAAAGTCATAAATAACGTATTTCCAAATATGTTACTTTACTGATAATTACTATTGGTATGACTAGAAGACTCTAAAATATACTTTTACTTTATTCTCTTTTAGCATTTAGGATTTCTAAGATTCGAAAAATTAAATAATTTCCCAAAAGTCCCAAATTTTGTATGTGGCATAGTGTGTCCTGTTTCACACCAATGCCAAAGCTCTTAATCACTCTGCTAGGGTACTATTGTCCATAGATAAAAAATTTATGTTTTTCATTCTAACCACATAAAATTTTTAGCATGTTGCCATTTCATATATCTTGGCCTTGATTTCCTTATCTATTAAACAAATAGTTGGATTAGATAAGCTTTTTTAAATTTTTAAATTATTATTTTTTTAATTTTTGAGCATACATAATAGGTATATATATTTATGGGGTACACAAGATGTTTTGATACAGGCATGCAGTCTGAAATAAGCACATGATGGAGAATGAGCTACCCATTCCCTCAAGCATTTAGCCTTTGAGTTACAAAAAATCCAATTACAATCTTTAAGTTATTTAAAAATATACAATTAAGTTATTATTGACTGTAGTCACCATATTGTGCTGTCAAATAGTAAGTCTTATTTATTCTTTCTAAATTTTTTGGTACCTATCAACCATCCACAACTTCCCCTCCACCCCCATGACCCATCCTCTGGTAACCATCCTTCTACTCCCTATGTCCGTAAGGTCAGTTGTCTTAATTTTTAGATCCCACAAATAAGTGAGGACATGAAATGCTTGTCTTTCTGTGCCTGGCTTATTTCACTTAACATATTGATCTCCAGTTTTATCCACGTTGTTGGAAATGACTAGATCTCATTCTTTTTTATGGCTGAATAGTACTCTGTTGTGTGTATGTATCACATTTTCTTTATCTGTTCATCTGTGGATGAACATGTAGGTTGCTTCCAAATATTAGGTATTGTAAACAGTGCTGCAACAAACATAGGAGTGCAGATATCTCTTCGATATATTGATTTCCTTTCTTTTCAATATATACTCAGCAGTGGGATGGCTGGATGACATGGTAGCTCAATTTTTTGATTTTTGAGGAATCTCACAACTGTTGTCCATAGTGGTTATATTAATTTAGATTCCCTACAACAGTAAACAAGGTTTCTCTTTTCTTCACATCCTCACCAACATTTGTTATTGTCTGTCTTTTGGATATAAGCCATTTTAATTTGGGTTAGATAATATCTCACTCCAGTTTTGATTTGCATTTCTCTGATGATCAGTGATGTTGAGCATCTTTTCATATAACAGTTTGCCATTTGTGTGTCTTCTTTTGAGAAATGTCTTTTCAAATTTTTTGCCCATGTTTTGATAATATTATTAGATATTTTTCCTGTAGAGTTGTTTGAGCTCCTTATATATTCTAAGTATTAATCCCTTGTCAGAGGGGTAGTTTGCTTTAAAATTTATTAGTGTTACAAAACAACTTAACATCCTGACACTTGTCCCATCATGAGTGTATAATTTAAATAAATGTATAACCTTAATACAGATTAAAATTCTATGTATTCTATATAGAATAGTTCATAGATCATCTGATCATTGTCAATACCTGATTATAAGTGTTGATATAGACATTCAAGGCCAATACACCTTTTTCCTATGTCCACTCTCAAGTCTCTCACAAATTTGCTGCTGGAATTCTCAGAGACTTATTTCACCTTTATATAATTTATACAACTCTGTTTTTAGAAATACATTTTCTTATGTGGATTTAACTCTGTTTCTCCGTGGTATGCATTCAATTATTCTACACTTTATCTAGTGGAGCCATGCAGGAGGGATATAATCGTAACCTGTATGGTATCCCTGAATATTTCTTTTCCATGCTAGGCAATTCTGTTTATGACACTCACTATAACATAGGTTCTAGAATTTCATCCTCTCAATTTTGTTCTTCTTTGAGGTATTTTAGATTATACACATGCCTTTTGCTGTATAGCTCTCAAAAGTAAACATGAGGTGCTTAGCCACAATCAATAATTTGTTTAAATAATATAAATGAAATTGGACAGAGCACATTACATTAGAGGGAAAAAAGTAAACATCACTTTGAGGAGTTTAATATAATGATATTCAATCTTCATTTCAATTTAAAACAATTTAAAAATTAGAATAGAGTCTAAGGTACAATACAAACAACAAATAAGAATGACAGTATTCAAAGATTAATGTTGTACTTCATTAAAAAAAGTTTTTCATTAGTATGTTTTTCTTTATGTTCCTACTCATTAAAATGTTGATAACAGGTATCATAGAAATTTTAGTATAAAATTAAAACATTTAGACAATTTACACATCATACACTGTGTCATATTTTTGTTTGAAAAAGACTTATGAAACAAATTGCAGTGTCATTAAACATATTGGATTTCCCTCTGTTCAATGTCAGAAATGCTTAAAGTGATATACATTGGAAACAGAGTTAAGAGGAGTTTAGACAGCTATGTATAAATTGATTTATTAAAAATACTTGCTAATGGCAAATGATGCACCAGGTGAGGGCTCAAAAGAAGATTTATACACAAATAATTAAATTTCTTATATATCATCTCAAGCATGTATTTTTTGCTTTAAATACATGCTTGCTTCTAACTCAATAAATTTTCTAGTGCTACTCCATATTTCAGCATTTTTACCCACTGAGGAATAATTAAACACTGTTGTTTTGGTTTACTTTTATAACTGAATTACTACTTAAGATAGAGAAATATTAAATATAAAATTATTAATATACTGTTTTAAATCATACTAATACTATAACTCAATTTGCTGTATAACAAATATCATTTTTATGATCAACTTTTAAAATTGGCAAAACTATTTGAAAAAATTCTAAAAGCTGTCTGCAAAAATGACCTAAAAATTACATCATATAGCCTATTTAGAAATAACATAATATGACCAAGGATATTTATGTATTTTTAGCTACTGTTTTCCTATATTATTGAAAAGTGCTATTATGTATTTTAAAAATTGAAGTAAATTTAATAATTGAAATCCTGAAAGGCAAACATGTAAATAACTCAGATAAATTCTATTAGAAAGTATCTTGCTCCTGTTGTTTTTCTTGTTCTAATCCATAATATTATCACAAAACATATTTTTTTGGACCTGTACCTCCCTGAAAATAATTCATCTTTCATATGTATTGAATATTCAGTAACTTTTTTTTACTTCTGTCGTATATGATATAACTGTATTTCACCATAATTTATTACTCTTTTTTTATTTTTTTCAAGATAATTTCCTGTATTGGTCTTTAGAGTTTTGAGCTTACAGCCTATATTTTCAAAACGAAATTATTGTCTTATTTACTGAAGTGCCCTGGGAGATAAAGATTTCTAAGGTGCTACTTTTATCTTTTTGTTGGTTGGGGGAAATTAAAATTTAGAATATAGATGAAGAATAGCAAAGGACAATGTATCAGACAACAAATCAGTTTACATCAATTCATAGGAAAACACAGAAATTGTGCTCTCATATATAGCTTGAAAAATACATTGAGACTAGCACTGGAATATATAATTGGAAAAAAAATAATTATAATGATTGAACAATGAATGGCTATTTATTACCTATTAATCCTAAAGTTTAAGATGATAATCAAAAAAAGAAAGTTGAGGCCATGAATGAAATTGGAGGAAAATATGACCATATATTAAAATGCATATTCTATTCACAATTAGCACCCAATATGATAATAAGGAATATATATTTAGTGGCTAAAATAAGATTCACAGATTAGAATTGCTAGATTAACTAATTAGTGTAATTGTAAAGCAAATTAAATCCTTTTCTATATACCAAAATACTACATTAAGAGAAGTAAGTTGCAAATGTATCATATTTTAATTTTCATGAAGATTTTATGTATCACAATAACTCTTCAAATTATATGTAATCAACAATATTTGCCAAAACATATAAAAGGGCAAATACAAAAGGGGAAATATTTGCCAAAAAATATAAAAGGGGAAATATGGTGACTTTACTTAAATCAGCCTAATTCTTCTGCAAAAAAAAAAAAAAAATAGAGAGAGCTTTAAAAAATATAAGAAACATTAATTTGTGAACATTAGAGAGGTAGCTGCCGCCACATTTGAGGAATCAAGATCCAAGGGAAAAGAATACTACAATAATATAAGCCCAATATTTTGTGTACTTGTTTCTCACTTCCTCTGTGGCCTTGACACATTTGCCAATTTTTGATACCTGTGGAAAAGAGGTTAAGGAGTTGAGCAGAAATATTAAGAGGTGAATGGAGCTGTGAAAGAAAAATTAGAATTCAGGACCTGACACAAAAGAAAAACTTTGGAAAATTCTCCAAGTTTTAAATTAGGAAACCTGAAGGGCTATTTCCTAGAATTAATGGAATATAGAAATCTATCAGCCTCCACAAAAACTGTTACCTCTCCCATAGGAATAAGATCCAGGAATAGGAAAAACTAAATTATAGGCTCATCTTCACAGAGACTATAACCCTGTTTTTGTTTTGTTTTTTTAATTAGCTCAAACACTGATTGAATTAAGATCATCTTCTATCAGTGTAATTGTATGTAAAAAACAAAATAATTTCTCTGTGGAGACAATAAGCATCAACCAAAACCAAAAATTATATCAATAATTTTTCAGACACAATATTCTGCATGCAAGCAAAACTTACCAGATATATGACAGATGAGATAACAAGACAGAAAACCAAGAGGAAAAAAGTAGACAATAGAAACAAGCCCATTGAAGATATCAAAAATGAATTTTAAATAACTGTGACAATGTATTTTAAATATAGGGAATAAGATAGAGAATTTTAGTAGGGAATTAGTATTTAGATTTTTAAATAATCTAATGACAATTCTAAAACCATAACCTATAATAATTGACATTAAGTACCAGATAAATAAATGTAATAGCAATTTTGATGAAGTAAAAGAGGTTAGTAAGGATAAGTTAGCAGAAAATATCCAGATCGAAACCAGGAGAAGAAATATAATGAAAAATAGAGTAAGAGATATAAGAGGCACACTGACAAGGTCTAATATGTTAGAAAGAAAGGAGAGAAAATAGGTAGAAATAATATTTGAAGAGATAATGACGAAAATGTTTACAAAGCTGCCAAAGATATGGTGAACAATTGAAGCTCTACAAGCAGATTT
The DNA here is from genome assembly GCF_000001405.40 of Homo sapiens. Classification (NCBI taxonomy): domain Eukaryota; kingdom Metazoa; phylum Chordata; class Mammalia; order Primates; family Hominidae; genus Homo; species Homo sapiens. Next base: position 84,526,889 of record NC_000005.10, on the reverse strand, counting down.
TTTTTTTCCAAAACAAATCCAAACCTAGGCACATCATAGTAAAATTAGTGAAAACTGAAGACAAAGAAAACATTATAAAAGCAGTCATGGAATTACTTCAAAAAATTACCTTATTAAAGAAATAACAATAAGACTATAGATTTCTCAATAAAAATAAAGATATCAGAAAACTCTGGAATGATATCTTCAGAGTTTTAAAAGATAAAGCTTCAATCTGAAATTCAAAACTCAGCAAATATATACTTCAATAATGAAATCATAATACATTTACATAAAAACAAAAACTGAGATAAAGAAATTTTTTCAAGCAGAAAGAAAGGGTCCTTAATGCAAACAATTAAATAAAAGAATAAAGAGCAAAGGAAATGGTTAATATTAGGATAAATCTACATCAATATTGGCTGTATAAAACAAAAACAATGACACCATGTAGTGTTTAAAATACATGTCAAATTCACATATATTTATATTTAATGTAAACATATAAATATATCTCAAAAGGTAAAGGAGTAAGACATTTGCAATATTTAGAAGTAGAAAACCAACAATTTGTAGATGCACATTATAATTTCTGTGATAATGACTAAAAGATGAGTAATAGAATAAGTAACTTATAAACGAATAAGGAAGTAAGAAAACTCCATAAATAATCCAGAAAAAAATAAGAAAATAAGGGAAAAGAAATATACTGAACTGTATATGGGACAAATAGAAAGAAAGAGGGTAAAAAAGTAAATTCAAACAGAAATGTATTATTAATTGAATTGAAGGTGAGTAGAAAACATTTCTAAAAATCATATATTTTATAGATCGTTAGGATTACAAAAGAGTACAAGTATATGTGGTATAGAAGAGCCATACCTTAAATAAAAGAATCCAGAAAACATGAAAGTTAAAGAATGGACAATGCTTTACCAAGAAAGCAAAAACTAAAAGAAATCAGGTATAGTTATATGAAAATCAGACAAAATAGACTTTAAAGTAAAAAGAGTTACTAGAGTTAAAGAATGATATTTGTACTGATAAAATGCTCAGTCCCTGGGAAGATATTATACTAATTCTAAGTGTGTTAACAGTCAATACTTAGACTCAAACTATATGAAACAAAAACTGACATTAATAAAAGGAAAACCAGACAAATTTATAATTGCAGTGGAAAATTTTAACAAAATCTCTGTCTCACAGTAAAAGAGAAAAATAAATCAGCAAAAATAGAGAATATTTGCATAGCACAATTAAGAAAGATGCTATTATTTATGTACATTTATACATAAGTTTCTATCCATTTAATTGTAGTGTGATTGTCCAGTTGTCTAAGTGTTAAAATTTTGTGTTTGTGAATAAGGAGCAGAGAGTAGAAGAGAAATAAAAGTTACTCTTTCTATTTTCTACTGCATCAAAATTTGTGTTTTTAGTATAGTTCTCTTGGCTTGTAGTCAGTAGCCTCCTTAGACCTGGTCAAGAGAGACTGTCATCCTGGGTTCCACAATTTAGAAAACATCCAAACTGGCTCTCTTCTAGCTGTTTCCCTCTTATGAGATAAAGGATCTGCAAGGGCAAGGCACATACCTGTCTGCACCTTGTGCCTCTCCCATATTCTCATGCTGAGTGTACCTGAATCATTATAAATCCCTGCCCAAATAACTCCAAGCCTCTTCGCAGAGCCTGTAAGATCTCTTCACTGGGCTTCTCCTTCCAGTGATTGACCTTAACTGCGCAGGTATACTTCTACAGAGCAGTGGCCCTAGCTATATGTAGGAGTGGGAAGTTGTCAGCAGAGCTCACATTTGTGCGTTGATGTATCCATATTTGTGCATTGGGTTTTCTCATGAAGAAGGGAGCTGAAAGTAGCAAGAAAAAGTGGGAGCAGGCCACTGGCTTGGGTTAAGGCCAGGAGGCAGGCTCTTCTCTTGCCTCTAAGTTATGATCTGCAACAAAAAGTTTGCAAATTCTAAACTTAAACCTGGCCTTCTGTGTTATGAAATTATTATAATAATGATAAGAAGTTAAAGCATTTTCTTTAACAGTTAGCTAGATTAATGGTTTTAAATGTTTAGATATGATGTTTATATTAGTGAATGCAGCATAACACATGTCCCCAAACTTACTGGCTGAAACAATGAACTTTTTCTACTTCTCCTAAGTCTGTGGGTTCATTAAGAAATTCTTTGGATATGGGCCAGGCATGGCTGATCTCTTGTTGGTGAGTAGCTAGTTGGTTGGCTGGGGTCTGGCTAGCTTAAAATGGTCTCAGCTGTCTTGATTCAGCACTCCATGAGGCTAGCCCACATGGTTTCATGGTGGTGACAGCATTTGAAGAAAAAGGACAGATACATGCAAGGTCTCTTGAAGCCTAGTTTCAGAACTATGTATTATTACCATTGCATTGCATTAGCAAAAACAAGTCCGAGTCAGCTTGGATTTGTGTACAGGGAAATTCCATCACTTAATGAGAGAAGCTACAAAATCACATTGCAGAGATGAGAATTTTGGAAGGAGTGGAAAATTGGGCCATTTTTGCAATCAACCTACCACAGCCCATGTGTCTCAATTTGCACTCTTGCACGAAGCCCACATAAGGTAGGCTGAGCCTGCTCGTAATTAATGGAAAATCCTCCAAGAGTCTGCCAATAGGCAACCATCAGTCCTGCCTGTTGTTTTTTTCTACTGGGATTCCTCTATTTTGTGTCATTATGGTTATTTTAATAAAATTTAAAAATATTTATCTAAGGTAACTGGTAACAATTTATTTAAAATAGATAGGTTTATCCATTTGTGTAAGATAAAAATGCAAGTAAAATAAGTATACAGAAGAGCAACTTATTTTACATTATGGTAGTACTTTTTAAACACATTCCAATTACTACAGCAATCCAGGAGTCCTATATTATACTTTAAAAGTTAATTTAATTTAGGGCATTCATAAATTTATACTTGAATGTTTTCCAATATTCCTGTGTTCTTCCCAGACAACTCTTTGATGTTGTGCTTGAACAATTTGTTTTTTGTATCTATAATGGACATAAATAAAGGCGAACTCCAATGCTTTGCTATAAGGAGATGCAGCCCACGTATTCAGAGGTATATCTGAGTCTAAAAGCACAAATCAGTGTCACCACAGAAATTCCCAAATTGGTGGTGTTATTATAAAGGCATTGCCATTTAATAATCCTTTATTTTTTAATGTCAGTGAAGGATGAAAGTAGATAAAACTGAGATATAATACTCTGAGATGTAATAAAAAAGAAAATAAAAACACTACCTGCAACCTAAAAAAAAAAAAAATCAGGAAACACTTAGAGTTCATTTAAACAAACCTTCATTTTTTTAATCTTCCAAGTTATTTTTGAAAGACTTTTATTTATTTGAAAAATTTACCTGTTACCTGTAAAAAATAAATAAATAAAATCTCTTTTTGGATACATTTTCTTTTCTTTTCTTTTTTCTTTTTTTTTTTTTTTTGGACAGCCTCGCTCTGTCGCCCAGGCTGGAATGCAGGGGCACGATCTCTGCTCACTGCAACCTCCGCCTCCTGGATTCAAGCAATTCTCCTGCCTCAGCCACCACGCCTAGCTAATTTATGTATTTTTAGTAGAGATGGGGTTTCACCATGTTGGACAGGCTGGTGTCTAACTCCTGGCCTCAAGTGATCCACCCGCTTTCGGCCTCCCAAAGTGCTGAGATTACAGGCATAAGCCACCACATGGGGCCTAAATTTTATTTGATTTTCAAATTTGAAGAGAAAGTTCTCCAAAATGTAGACTTTTAATTATAGTTGGCTTTATTTTCATCAATTTGCCAATGTATGTAAGATTAAACTTACTTATCTCTTTTTTACTAGAATGTTTTACCAGATGTATATTTTTCATAGTAAGTTATTTTGGTATTCAGGTGCAATAAAAAACCATTAGCATTTACTTTAGTTTTTAGAACTTATACTAGATTTATTATAATTAAGAATTCATACATATTTTTTATAAATCTAGCCAATTTTAATTTTAAATATTGAATATTTTAATATATAATTCTAATACATCTTGTCATACTTAAGAAAACTTTTAGTGTTTAGCTATATTTCTTTAATATGTTGCCTGAATTTCCAAAGAAAATATATTTAAACATCTCTTTAAGTATTTCTATACTCTAAATAATGAACAAAACCTTCCCACGTTCTCCAGAGACCTTTTGATATTTAACAAAGTTTACATATACATATTGTATCTTTGAATATTTTTAAATATTTATCTACAACAAAATTAACAAAAAAATTTCTTCAATATGTCAAATAAAATCGCAAATCAATATTAACTACTCAAATACACATTTCAAATGAAGATTAAAAGGGTAAACTGTTAAATACTTGAATATAACAAATGATCTTAAGTATCAAAAAAATACTATAATATAATTATGTCTGTGCTTAATACTAAACTTTTTACTATTAAAAAATCACAAGGAAATAGTAAGAGCAACTCAAATAAACTGGAAGTTCATTTACATCTCTTTCAGTATACACAGCTAAGAAGGTTCTTGGCAAGAATTTGATATTTGCTGTCTCCTCCACCCATCTCTGGTAGAGTCCTATTTATTTTTATTATAACGAGGCTTCAGTATGATATTAAAGGACTGAGCTTTCAAAACATGAGTATTAGTTTATATATTATCTTATTTTCATTTGAATTTTCAACCCCATCCCCAGATTTTAGCTATCAGTTTTACTAATTTTTAAGATGTCTAAATGATTTATCTATTGGACTTTGAAGACATGCTGATATCTTCTCTCCAATTAAAGACTCCTTACCATTGTATAATTCACATGCATGTATCATTCTTTTATATCATTTTGAACTCGTTTGCCTCATTTAGCGGGCAAGCACTTTATATAATTTTCTGTATTTTTTCCCTGTCTTGCAAGTTCACAGCTTTTACATGTTAAGATGACCTTGCAATGGATCAAAATTTATCCTGTGACTTTCTCTGACCCTGCAGTAAAACTCTAAAGCCATGTTGATAACAGTAATAAATATTTAATTAGAGTTGAAACTAAGCCTCAACTGGTATTCAGAGATACTTGTGTAATGGGTACTCTAGCAGATGAGTACTGTCTTAAATCATTTCATGTTGCTGTAAATGAGTGTCCAATGCTAGGTAAGGTATTAAAAAGAAAAGATCTGTTTGCCTTACAATTCTGATGGCTGGGAAGTTCAAGATACGGCATCTGCACCTGGTGAGGGCCTCAGGCTGCTTCCATTCATGGTGGAAGGTGCGGGGCAGTCAGTATGTGCAGAAATCACATGTCAAGAAAGAAAGTGAGAAAGAAAGAGGGAAGATGCCAGGCTCCTTTTGACATTTAGCTCTCATGGGAATTAATAGAGTGAGAACTCAGTCACCATACATGGAGGGCATTAATCTATTCATGAGAGATCTACCCCCATGACCCAAACACCTCCCATTAGGCCCCATCTCCAACAATGAAGATTAAATTTTAACATGAGATTGGATGGGAACAAACAACCTACATTCAAATGATAGCAGGTACCTCATTTGATATTAAAGTTGTCTTTAATTCTTCTTTTCTAGGGAGAGAATTGTCAGACGACTATCTTGAAATCATTAAGAATTACCTCTTTTAGAAAGTTTGGGAAGCAAAGGATGTCTGTAAACCCTTTGGATTTTGAGGGTTCACCATAAAAACCTTTAAAAGCACTAGATGATACAGGTGAGGGGGGATAAGGAGGTAAAATCTATAGGAAGTACATTTATGTTCTGCAGCCTTTTGTGGGGGATGCTTCTGGAACCAACTGATACCCATGTATATGATTGTTCACAGGAACTAAAAAGGTATGAGTAGTTAAGAGCTACAACTTTGGTTGGGATGGAGGAGATCCCTTGACCAAAGGATGATAGCATGACGTTCAAAGGCCTGTCTACTTATACTGGACCACAAACTCAACAGCAACATAATTGGGCATCAAAACAATATCAGGGATGGACTAATCAGACTTTAACGCTTTCTCTGTTTATCTGTAGCAATCGGAATGATCGGATTTGAATTGTTTAAGAAATTAGGATACTTGAAAAATTCATGGGGTTCTGAAAAAAGAGTTGATGAGTCTTAAGCAATGAATTAGGAAAATCAAAAAGGAGGTGATGATCCTCTCTGCCTCAAATTTAACAACCAATTAATAAACATTAGAATTTCATCTGAGAAATGATTATGTTCTAATTTCTCTATTTTCTTGATATGACATGGATGTTGGGAATAAAGCCTTCAAAGGACTGTGATGTGGATGATGTGTCACAGAAGAAGGAAAATTGTAACAAACAGAATGCCTTCCCTCAGCCAGTCCCCAGTGACTGAGCTTGGCCCACCACAGGGAAAGCAATAAGGGCAGAAGACAAACTCTTTCATAAGGGACACTTGGAAGTTTTGACACAAGCAGTGCTGAATTAGGGTCCATGTTCTGACATACGATTCAGATATAGAAAGTGGCCCCTTTCCCCCACTCTCTACTTCTGGCATCTGCTCAAATTTAGTAACTCAGGGGTTATGGTACCTACCATAGGAGGAGAGATATTGCCACTGGAGGAACAGCAGTGACCAACACCAGCCACTGGCCTGCCAGGCAGAGAAGCTCTGCAAAGAAATCAGACCAGAGCAGCTATTTTCTGATTCCCCTCAGAAAACTTCTAGGGCCTACCAGAAACAACTGGGAAAGAGTTTGAAGTAGATATCGATTTCCTCAAATTATGCAAAAAACAAGCCAGCAATATTTGAGAATTTATATTAGTGTGACCTGGTTGGACCTACAGGCTCGGGAGGTATAAGGATATTTGGTTTCAAATCAATTATTGAATATGTATGTGCAGTTCCAGGTGTACTTGGTTCCTGCACTTTTCAAGGGTGAATAAGTGTTTTGTTTTGCCTTGACTTTTAAAATATAATTATTAAAAATTGATTTAGGAGAAGTCATATCAGTGTGAATTGTTCCCTCTCTGATCCACTCATTGTCATAAACTATATAACTGAGTATTCCCGACGCTGCTCAATAAATGTTTATTAATCTGAGGTGAAATAAATAGGAAAGTCTGGGACAACATGGGAAAATTACCCAAGGAGGAACTTAGGAAACTTAGCAGAGTTTTACAACAACAAAAATTATAGGGAGAGAAGGAAGTTTCATTTTTACTTTGATAGGATGAGATTGTTGTTTAATATACAGCCCTAAATCATATTAAAGCACTGTTGGTTTATGATATGTACGTGTAAGGTAACATTATCTAATCTTTATCTACTTTTACTATATGGTAGGTACTAGATTAAGTAATTTGGATTTACATGCCATTTAATCCTCTCAGAGATACTATTATAAAACTATTTTCACAATCTTTTATCTTACATAGTAAGACATTAAAGAATAGAGTGGTTTAATAATTTTGGTGGTGATTAATAGTTTAATAATTTTAGTAGGCAGGCAAGATGGCTGACTAGACACAGCCAGGTGGAAAAGCTACCACCAAGGGACCAGGATGACTGGCACACTCCTAACAGATCTTCAGAGAGAAGGCACTGAGAAGGGGACAAAGGGAAGATGCAGAAGCTGGGCTGAAGTCGAAGGAAGCTGGGAACACTGCATGGGGCTACTGCATACCAGGACTCATTCCTGGACCCTAAAAACTCTGGAGGAACAGATGAGTTGAACAGGCAAGGAGCAACCTGCTCTCGCCATGGGACTCTGGAATCCAGGCAGGAGGAAATTCCTCTACCACTGTGAACACTTGCATTGGCAAGGAGAAGTGCTAGGGGCAGCATACCAGCCAGTGCAGAGCCCAGTGGGAGCATCTGTAGTGAAGCACAGCAAGGTATGTCCATCCCCCTAGGCTCCACTTGCTCCCATAGAAGACTTTAGCCCAAGAAGAACTGTCTGACCTGAATTCTGCAGCACAGTCTTGGCCATCGGATGGGGGTGATCTGACCTGAACACTCCTTGGTTTACTGGCCTCTCCAGTATCCCAACTGAGCCACGCCTGCTTGCAGTGCAGCCTTGGGTGCCCTGGTGGCCCACATCACAGCTCCTGCACTGGCAGACCATGCTTAACCAGCAGAGAGCTTCAACAGACCAACCCCTGCAGCCACACATCAGCCCACCTGGACCTTCCCCCACCCTAAGCAGCCACCTCCATCTGTGCAAATGCACACATAGGGCGCACACAGACCTGTGCCCACCAGCACCCTGCCCCTCTTATAATACAACCACCAGCATGACCACGTGCACAGTTGCCAGTGGGAACTTCCACCCCACTGAGCCATGCTGCCTCTGCCACTGCTGTTAACACCTGCAGGGAGGCAGGCACCCTGGCACAGCCAATAAGCATGCACCATGGCACACTGCAGCTGCAGCTGCTGCCACTGCTGGCACATGCCAACAAGGACAGGTCCCGCTGTCACCGCACTACAAAATGCTTTGACTGACAACACCTATTGGAGTGTAGTGACCAGCCTATTGGGAGCACCCTGACCCCCTAGCACAGTGGATTACTAACCACAAGGAGCCAGATAACAAAGTTGGGGCCCAATATGAGTTACCCAGAGTTAGAGCATGCAGTCCAGGAGTTGGCAGCTGTGTGCTGGCTCCCAAAAATCTTCCAGAAACAAAATCAGTCGGCTGAACCCACCTTTTACCACAATCAAACCCTCAAGGTCATCAAACAGGATAAAAGAAAAAACAACCCATCCAAAAGTCAACACTTCAAAGATAAGAGGAACATCTATCCACAAAGATGAGAAAGTACCAACACAAGAACCCTGACAACTCAAAAAGCCACATTGCTTTCTTATCTCCAAGTAACTGCACCATCTCACTAGCAAGGGTTCTGAATCATTCTGAAATGGCTGAAATGACAGTAATAAAATTCAGACTACAGATAGGCATGAAGATCATTGAGATGCAGGAGTACATTAAAACCCAATCCAAGGAAGCTAAGAATCACAATAAAACAATGCAGGAGCAGACAAACAAAATAGCCAGTATAGAAAAGAACTCAAAGAGCTAAAAAACACACTATGAGAATTTCATGATGCTATCACAAGTATTAATCACAGAATAAATCAAACAGAAAAAAGAATCTCAGAGCTTTAAGACTGGCTTTCTGAAATAAGGTAATAAAAATAGAGAAAAAAGAATAATAAAGAAGTAACAAAACCTCCAAGCAATATGGGATTATGTAAAGAGACCAAATCTATGACTCATTGGTGTCCCTGAAAGATATGGGGATAATGGAAGCAACTTGGAAATCATATTTCAGGATATCATCCACAAGAACTTCTGCAACTCAAGTAGAGAGGCCAACATTCAAATTCAGGAAATGCAGAGAATGCCAGTAAGATAGTTCACAAGATGATCATTCCCAAGAGAGATAATCATCAAATTCTCCAAGGTCAAAATCAAAGAAAAAATGTTAAAGGCAACTAGAAAAAAAGGTCAGGTCACCTACAAAGGGAAGCCCATCAAACTAACAGCAAACCTCTCAGCAGAAACCCCACAAGCCAGTAGAAATTAGGGGTCAATATTCAACATTCTTTATTTTTATTCTTTTATTTTAGGGATGGAGTCTCACTCTATCACCAGGCTGGAGTGCAGTGGTGTGATCTTGGCTCACTGCAATATCTGCCTCCCAGGTTCAAGTGATTCTCCTGCCTCAGCCTCCCGAGTAGCTGGGACTACAGGCACGCACCACCATGCCCAGCTAATTTCTGTATTTGTAGTAGAGATGGGTTTCACCATGTTGGCCAGTATAGTTTCAATCTCTTGACCTCATGATCTACCCGCCTTGGCCTCCCAAAGTGTTGGGATTACAGGCATGAGCCACCACGCCCGGCCTCAACATTCTTACAGAAAAGAAAGTCCAACCCAAATTTTCATATCCGGCCAAACGAAGCTTCATAAAGCAAAGGAGAAATAAGATCCTTTTCAGACAAGCAAATGCTGAGGGAATTGTTACCGCTAGACCTGCCTTACAAGAGGTCCTGAAGGAAGCACTAAACATGGATAGGAAAGACCATTACCAGCCACTACAAAAAAACACACTTAAGTATACACACCAGTGACACAATAAAGCAATCACACAAACAAGTCTGCATAATAGCTAGCTAACATCTTGATGACAGGATTAAAACCCACACATATCAATACTAATCTTGAATGTAAACGGTCTAAATGCCCCAATTAAAAGGCACAGTGTGGCAAGCTTGATAAAGAAAAAGACCCAATTGTATATTGTCTTCAAGAGAACCATGACACATGTTATGACACCCATGGGCTCAAAATAAAGGGAAACTGAAAAATCTACCAAGCAAATGGAAAACAGAAAAAAGCAGGGGTTGCAATTCTAATTTCAGGCAAACAGACTTTTCAAGGAGAATGATCAAAAAATTCAAAGAAGGGCATTACATATTGGTAAAGGGTTCAATTCAAGAAGAACATCTAACTGTTCTAAATATATATGCACTCGACACAGGAGCACCCAGATACATAAAGCAAGTTCTTACAGACCTTCAAAGAGACTTAGATCCCACACAATAGTAGTGGGAGACTTCAACACCCCACTGACAGTATTAGACACATCGCCAAGGCAGAAAATTAACAAAGATATTCAGACCTGACCTCAACACTGGATCAAATGAACTTGGTAGACATCTACAGAACTCTCCAACCAAAACCAGCAGAATATAGGTTGCTCTCATGGCCACGTGGCACATACTCCAAAATTGACCACATAATCAAGCAGGAAACAATTCTCAGCAAATGCAAAAGAATTGAAATTATGATAACCACTCTAACAGAACACAGTGCAATACAATTAGAAATCAAGACTGAACAAAATCACTCAAAACCAAACAATTACATTGAAATTAAATAACTTACTCCTCTATGACTTTTGGGTAAATAATAAAATTAAGGCAGAAATCAAGAAATTCATTGAAACTAATGAGTATGAAAATAGAACATATTAGAATCTCTGGGACACAGCTAAGGGAGTGTTAGGAGGAAAGTTTATAGCACTACACACCCAACACCCACATCAAAAAGTTAGAAAAATCTTAATTTAACAACCTAGTATCACAACTAAAAGAAGCAGAGAGCAAAAAGCAAAACAACCCCAAAGTTAGCAGAAGACAAGAAATAACCAGAATCAGAGCTGAATGAAGGGAGACTGAGAAACAAAAAACTATTCAAAAGATCAACAAATCCTGAAGTTGTTTTTTTTTTTAATTAATAAAGTAGGTAGGCAGGAAGCTACACTAAGAAGAAAAGAGAGAAGATCCAAATAGACACAATTAGAAACAAGGGGGATATTACCACTGACCCCACAGAAACATAAATTACTATCAGAGAATATTATGAACATCTTTATGCAAAAACCAAGAAAATCTGGAGAAATAGATCAATTCCTGGATACATAAACCCTCCCAAGACTGAGCCAGAAGAAAGTGAATCTCCATATGGAGCAATAATGAGCTCCAAAATTGAATCAGTAATAACCGATCAACCAAAAAAATCCCAGGACCAGACAGATTCACAGTCAAATTCTACCAGAAGAACAAAGAAGAGCTAGTACCATTCTTACTGAAACTATTCCAAAAAAATTAAGAGGGAGAGACTCCTCCCTCCAAAACTTGGCAGAGACACAACAAAAAAGCAGACTTCAGACCAATATCCCTGATGAACATTGATGCAAAAATCCTCAACAATATACTGGCTAACTGAATCCATCAGCACATTCAAAAGCTTATCCATTATGATCAAGTAGGCTTTATCCCTTAGATGCAAGTTGGTCAAATATGCAAATCAATAAATGTGATTCATCACATAAACAGAACTAAAGACAAAAACCACATGATTATCTCAATAGATGCAGAAAGGGCTTTCTATAAAATTCAACAATCCTTCATGTTAAAAACTCTCAATAAACAAGATATCGAAGGAAGATAACTCAAAACAATAAGAGCCCTGTATGACAAACCCACAGCCAACATCATAATGAATGGGCAAAAGCTGGAAGCATACCCCCTTGAAAACTAGCACAAGAAAAAGATGGCCTCTCTCACAACTCCTATTCAACATAGTATTGGAAGTCCTGGTCAGGGCAATCAGGCAAGAGAAAGAAATAAAGTGTATCCAAAAAGGAAGAGAAGAAGTCATCCTATCCCTATTTTCAGACAACATAATTCTATATCTAGAAAAAACCGTAATCTCAGCCCAAAACCTCCTTAAGCCAATAAACAACTTTAACAAAGTCTCAGGATACAAAAATCAATGTTAAAACTCACTAACATTCCCATACCCCAACAACAGTCAATCTGAGAACCAAATCAGGAATGCAATCCCATTCACAATTGTCACACACACAAGAAAAAGATACCTAGAAATACAGCTAGTTAGGGAGGTAAAAGATCTCTGCAAGGGAACTACAAAACACTGCTCAAAGAAATCAGAGATGACACAAACAAATGGAAAAACATTCCAAGCTCATGGATAGGAAGAATCAATATTGTTTAAATGGCCATACTACTCAAAGCAATTTATAGATTCAATGCAATTACTATTATACTACCAATTACATTCCTCACAGTACTGGAAAAAAACTATTTTTAAATTAATATGGAACCAAAAGAGATCAAATAGCCCAGGCAATTCTAAGCAAAAAGAACAAAGCTGGATGGCATCACGCTACCTGACTTCAAACTATACTAGAGGGCTACAGTAACCAAAAATAGTATGATGCTGGCATTAAAACAGACACAGACTAATGGAACAGAATAGAGAACCCAGAAATAAGGTTTCACACCTACAACTATCTTATCTTTGAAAAACCTGGCAGAAACAAGCAATGGGGGAAGGATTCCCTACTCAATACATGGTGCTGGGATAGCTGGCTAGCCATATGCAGAAGATTAAAACTGGACTCTTTCTTTATAACATGCAAAATTCAACTCAAGATGAATTCAAGACTTAATGTAAGACACAAAATTATAAAAACCCTGGAAGACAACCTAGGAAATATTATTCTGGACATAGGAACAGGCAAAGATGTCATGATAAAGATGCCAAAAGCAACTGCGACAAAAGCAAAAATTGACATATGGGATCTAATTAAACTAAAGATCTTCTGCACAGCAAAATAAACTATCAATAGAGTACATACACAACTTACAGAAAGGGAGAAATTTTTTGCAAACTATGCATCTGACAAAGGTCTAATATCCAGCATCTGTAAAGAGCGTAAATAAATTTACATGAAAATAATAAACAACCCCATTAAAAAGTGGGCAAAGGACATGAACAGATACTTCTCAAAAGAAGGTATACCTGTGGCCAACAAACATATGAAAAAAAGCACAACATCACTGATCATTAGAGAAGTGCAAATCACAACCACAATGAGATACCATTTCATACCTGTCAGAATGGCTATTACTAAAAAGTCAAAAATAACAGATGCTGGTGAGGTTGCAGAGAAAATGGAACACTTATACACTGTTGGTGGGAGTGTAGATTAGTTCAACCATTGTGGAAAGCAATGTAGCTATTCCTCAAAGAGCTAAAAACAGAATGACCACTCAACCCAGCAATCCCATTACTATGTATATATCCAAAGGAATATAAATTGTTCTGTCATAAAGACACATGCTCATGTGTGTTCATCATAGTGCTATTCACAATGGCAAAGACATGGAATCAACCCAAATGCCCATCAGCTGTAGACTGGATAAAGAAAATGTGGTTCATATACACCATGGAATACTATGCAGTCATAAAAAAGAATGAGATCATGTCCTTTGCAGGAACATGGATGGAGCTAGAAGCCATTATTCTTAGCAAAATAATGGAGGAACATAAAACCAAGTACTGGATGTTCTCATTTATAGGTCAAAGCTAAATGATGAGAATACAAGGACACATAGAGCAGAACAACAGACACTGGAGCCTACCAGAGGGTAGTGGTTTGGAGGAGAGAGAGGATCAGGAAAAGTAACTAATGGGGACTAGGATTAATACCTGAGTTACGAAATAATCTGTATAACAAACCCCCACAACACGAGTTTACCTGTATAGCAAACCTCCACATGTTCCCCTAAAAAGTTAAAAAAAATAAATTTTGTGAGATACCTGTCAATAACTCTGAAGGGTCTGAGAATTTTCCCCTCTTGCAAGCTAACAAGATTCTGTACCACATTTTCATGGATGCTGGCAGAAGGTACAATACTTCCGGGTCAGAGATCAATTACTTTATTATTTATTGCACAGCAAACATTATAAGTTTCATCTTTGTGACAGTCCCTTTGCCTCCAAGTCCCACATGGGCAATATGGAAGAATCTAGTTGGGTGCTGTATAAATAGTGAGTCTGTGTCACTATTGAGGAAATCGAAACCTATGGAACCTCATGCTTTGTGATAGATAATTAAGACAACCTGCTTAACTTTTGCTCTGGAAACTCTTTTTTATTTTACTGGCTTTATTTCACTATATATTTTTTTACCCTACTTCAGAGGAAGACACTCTATAATCCAAGACTGACCACTATACCAACATCATTAAAAAGATGCTCTGTAACATAAGGGAGTTGGTGTTCTGCTTGCAGGAGGTGCAGAGAGAAACCCATTGAAAATTGTTTTCCAAAAAATATCTACTTCTCATTTCTATATTATCCTGCTTTCTCATGAATTTCCTCATAAGCATGCCATTCTGTCGCTAGTCTGATTCATATCCAGTTCTTAATAGTGGAGATATGATTTAAACCCAGATACTGACTCTGATGTCTCAAAAAATATATATATATCTAAGAGTACTAAGTAAGAATCTGAGGTAGTTCCTATACTTGGCTCTAAGTAACTAATAAAGAAAGAACTCAGGCTTCCTGGTTAAAAAGATGAGATTAATTAGGAGAAGGGAATTGTGTGAACTAGTGATCAGAGAGTTAGGGCATTAATTTTGCTATATTTATTCTCCTGGGGATTCTTCAATATCTGCACAGAAATCAAAACTGTGTCTTAATGTTAAATGTAACTTTGTTTGACAACTATAAATTGTGATATGTTTCTTTTTAAAAGATATACCTCTTCATTCAACGAATATATATTTTATATACATTTGTGCAATTACAGGAAGATATGTAGAGAAGATATTTTTTAAAAAGAGATTGCTTGATATATATAGATAGATCTAATTTCTGAGACTCTGATAAGTTTATTTATTTTATATTTATCTTCTGTCAAACACAGCAAGTCTAAAATGAATAGAAGGAAGGAGAATCACAGCTGTTGTCAGAATTACTAAAGAGGGAAGTGCTAGCTGACACACAGGCAGTATTTTCGTTCACATTTCTACTTTTGTGATACCTTGTTTGTTAAATATTTTAAGTAATTTGACCATTTTATTATTACTAGTTTTTTGGAAGGATCACGTCATGACATTTCAGTTCTGTTTTCTTTTTTTCTGCATTATAATTCTTTAATCCCTATTTTCTCAGAGCTGTTCTATTTTTAATCTAACCATTTTAGAGTAGACTTCTGGTAGCTGTTCCAGTAAGTAGTATGGTTCCCAGAGAATCTGGAGTGACAACAATATATATATATATTATATATATATATGTATGTATGTATGTATGTATATTCTCCACATAAGGAAATTTCAGTCAACAATGAATTGCATGTATGACGGTGGTCCCATAAGGTTTTAATACCTATTTTTACTGTACTTTTTCTATAATTAGATATGTTTGGATACACAAATACTTACCACGTGTTACAATTGCCTACAGTATTCAGTACAGTAACATGCTGTACTGGTTTATAGCCTAGGAGCAATAGGATACCCTATATACCACAAATGTCTTGTAGTCTATACCTTCTAGTTAGTTTGTGTAAGTACACCCTATGTTTACACAATGATGAAATTGCCTAATGACACATTTCTCAGAATATATCCCTGTCATTAAGTGACACATTACTAAATATACATGTTTTAATATAAATAAATTTCTAAGCACTACTAAGTTTCTAAGCACTATTATGGAGAAAGATTTTCCTGTCTCAAAATGTTTTAATCCTACCATTCCCTATGAGGAATAGAGTACAGTGGTTTGCACATGAGCACATACATTCTTAAAGTAGCTAAGGGCAACAAAATTATGAAAGTTGAAGGAAAAATATTGAGAAAGACTTTAAGAAAGTGATGCAGAGAATAATTATTTTTTGTACTTCAAGGAGTGTTGGACTCTGGCAGCCTTCAGAGGTTTTGCATCTCTGGAGTCAACCCTCAGGAGTTTTCTGAAGTTGACAGATTTCTGGATCTCTGGGTATGAAGAGGACTTTGCTCCCCACAGGACAATCATTCAAATAGAATCAAACAATTTTCATGTATGGGCCTTGGCTTTTTATAAAGCTTTTTATAAAAAATAGCAAAGTACTCTGAACACGGCAGTTGTTCTTTAATTCTTTGGGGGTTAGTAGAAAAAGAGAAATGCTATTTTTTTTCTATTTTTGGGGGTATCTTGACTTGATCTGAAGCTTGGATTTAGATTTGTTTTGTGTTTGATGTATGTTTTAAAATCAGTGAATACATACATTGTATTTGTTTTATATATTTTCTGAAAGTTCCTCCTCATTACATATACATATATACTCATACATATTCATATACATAGATAAAGAATATATGTGGGGTGTGTGTAATGTTTGTATATTAAGATACAGTTGAGAGTAAAATCTAAAATGAACTATGGCTTGTCACATAGAGGGGGATGAAGGATGTTCCCCTCAATATTTTAAAACACAAAAAGAAAGGGCAGGTCAGTTTTTGAAGTGATATAAATCTGGTAATATAAATCCATATATTTTATTTTATATCACAGTTCCACATGGCAAGGTTGGATTCTGAATACCATAATTTAACTTTGGTAAAATTCTAACTCATGCCATCTGTCCAACATATAACAGTGTATCACTTCCTATCAATCCAGAGGGACAAATTCCCTAGGATCTCAAGCAAGAGACACAAGGAAATGACATGGCAATGATGCTCATAATAGGCATGCAGAAACATGAGGTGGAAAAGGAATATACCTCTTTAGCCTCACAGAAGAGAAATCTACTTCTCCTAACTCTGCTGTGCAAAATGGGCCAATTTAAAGCAACTGGAATTTTTCCACAGCCATCCTCAAGACGGCAACCTTAGAGGAGTCACCTCTAAGAAATATGTTTTGATTTCTTTGGCTTCATGCTAAATAAGGTCCTTGCTTGCAAAGAATTCAGGTCATTTTCAGCAAATGCATCATGTTCTAGCTGACTTACCCTGAACTAAGGAAGAAGTGGTCTGTACCTCTTTAAAGGGAACATTACAAGAGGAATTTTAAGAAAAATGGCAGAGGTAGGAGATTAGATGGTGGAATAGATTTTGAAGCCCCTTTCCTAAAAAAAAGTAGCTATGTGACAAGCATCAAGATTTTCCTGGACTTGGCATTCCATCATTCTGTACACATTTAGTGGGAGAATACAAAGCAGGTTTGCTAACCGTCAATCCCAAAAGATGGCTCCCACTGTGGTAAAGACCATCACTATGCCAACCGCCATCACTATGCCCATTACTACCCAAGATGGATGGTGTCTTGACTGCACATGCTCCACTTTGCACCACAGCTGAAGGATCCCAGAAGGCAGCCCACCCCAGATTATGTATCTCAGGGGCCATGTGACACACTGGGCACAGCTTTGAAGAAGAACCTGCTTCTAGGGGAGAGAGGAACAAAGACCAGGCTATTCCCCCAAGACGTTACATTTCCTAGGAGGGACAGAAACAAAGCATGCACTGTTTGAGGCAGTTCCTCCCTGTCTCAGAATATCATATTCTCAGTAGGTTCTACAGTATTCTTAAGAATTACAAGCAAGAAAAGGGGAGAACTGGGTTGGTCCAAGGCTGCCAGGAAAGCTGTCTTCCAGACAGGGTGGGACACTTCTACATCTATTTTGCTATACCTATATTAAACCTATTGTTAAATCACAAGCCATGGAAAACCAGACTATTCAGGGTTTAAGATACCACTATTTTAAAGCAAAGTAATATGGTATAGTTCATTTCCACAAAACTTTAAGAAAATATCTTAAAGGCTATACACTTTTGCAAGTTTCTGAAAAGCAACCTTCTGGTAAGTTTAAATTTCCAAATCCTAAGTTTAAAATCTACTCAGTCATATATATATTCTCTGCAAAATAACTTATTTTACCTAAAGAGGTGTTACTGACATTAACAGAACAGCGAATCAAATTCTCAAGAAATATAAAAATTAGAAAAAAAGGCTTACATTGTCAAAGGGTATAGAATCCTAAAATATACAAAGTAAGCCTGCAATACTAAAAAGTATCCAATTTGCAGCATTTAAAAAGCATATATAATATGAAAGACACTTTCTGCCATCTCAAAAAAGATAAAGACTTTATCCACAAGAAGTGAGTTCTACTTTAGGGGGATCTTTTATATTTTGTAGAGGCAGGAGCTCAAATCTTTAACTCCTTTATATCATTAGGGAATAACTGATTTCTCAGATAAAGATTAATAACTCCCATTATAACTTTTTTAATGGGTAACAGTTTATTATCACATTTTAGAAGATTCTATTTATGTTTTATTATTTTATTTTCATTTTCCCCTGCAATTGTTTCTTGTCAACTATATCTCAGATATTATCCAGCGTGCTACTCACCCCTATAATTTGAATAGTTGAACTCAAGGTCTTTTCCAGGTGATTAGAACTGTTGAAGGATACTGAAATTTGAACTTGTAAGCTGTAATCCATTTGCTACCACTAAGTCTACAATTTATATGCAAACCATTCTACATAATTCCTAGTGGGAGATTTAATGACATCCTGGACTCCTCACCAAGTCACCTTTGTGAGCACAATGGCTCTTTACTGTATGCTAGTAATTAAATGTGCTGCCTCTGTAGTTATTCAATGTATGATGTTGAGTGCCATGCATGTTGCAAACATGCTACTAATGTTACAGGGGCTTAAAAATGATGATAATAGAACCTTTAACTCTAGTGACCAACCCTGAGAAGGAGATTGCCACATGTATTTTCATACCTTCACACCACAACCACCCCACCAGTGACGCCAACATATACACATCTAAGTAATTCAGACTTCCAAAGATGAAAAGAAATACCATCATTTTAAAAATGGGAATGCCTATCTCATGTTTATTGTTTACAACTATATTTAGAAATTAATTTGAATAGGAAATACATTAACTGTTAAAATTTGGAAAAAATGTAAGAAATAATTAATTAGAAAGCCTTGCTCCTTTCTTTGCTTCCAGGTACCCTGTTCCTTTCCTTACAGGCAGCTGACATTACTAATACCTTATGCATCTTCCTAGGGATATTCTGCATGTATACAAATAAGTCACTTTTTCTTACTCCAGTGGAAATGCTCTTCCCACACTGTTATGACACTTGTATCAGTCAGGCACCATACAAGTTTTGCTAAGAACTTCTTCATTCTTATTCTTTCTAGTGGATGTACTATGATTTAATTAAATAGTCTCTTACTGATGAGCATTTAGATGTTTTGGGTTCCTTTACCCCAACTTGTTACTATTAGAAATAATACTGAAAAAAATAAGTTTGTAAACACCTTATTTCACAAATACACTATCAGAATTACTACATTCAGGACATGTGTGTTAATAATTTTGATAGATATTGTCAAATTCCCCTCAGTGGAGGCTATACCCATTTAAATTTCTACCAGCAATGTAAGAAAATTAGTTTTCCCCACAACTTAGCCAAAGCAGTACATTATCAAATTTTTGATATTTGCAAATAAAGTAGGTGAAAAATGGATCATAAATGTAGTCTGAGTGTGCATTTTTCTTGAGTGAAGTTGAGTTTCTGTAACAGTGCTTTACAGCTACTGATATTCCTTTGCCAGTGAATTGTGTATTCATATCTTCTGCTCAGTTTTATTGAGTGGTATGTCTATTTTTTATTTCTTTGTAAATTTAGGTTGGGGAATCCAAACTCATTATAATATGTATTATGGAATATGTATATTCATATTCAAATTATGTGTATTCATAAGCCAGATAGATTTGTATTCAACTTTTTTTCCAGATGGCTACACAATTATACAAATGAGTGATTGAAAAATCCTTTTTCCACATTTAGTTCTTGGATGTATTAGTGTCTATTTCTGGACACCTGTTCTGATTTAGCAGATTAAATCATGATTTTAGTTATTGATAGTTTATAATTTATTTTAGTATTTGTAGAGTTAGTCCATTTTCATTATACCTTTTTTAATTTTCCTCATTTCCCTGGCTAATCTTGCTCTTTATTTATTTCTTAAAGTAAATTTTAGAATGAACTTGTTCAAAATAAAAATATAGTGATATTATATTTATTGAACTCACATTACCTTTGGAACTTAACTCGGAGATGATATCCTGATAATGTTAAAAATATCATATTCCTTTGCAACTAAATATCATATTCCTTTGCAATTGTTTGAATCTTCTAAGTCCCTTAATATGTTTTAGTGTTTTTTTTTCAGTTAATTATTTAATGGATTTCCATGTATCCTACCATACACTCTGCAAATAATTATAGTAATTTTCCTTTTATAAATAATTGTTATGCATTTAATTTTTTTCTTCTCTGATTATATTGGATATTACTTCCAGAACAGTTCTAAATCAATAATGGTGATAATGGAAACACTGGTCTTGGTCTAATTATACATTTTGGAAGATACTAGTTGTAGGTTAAGATAGATTTTTATTTTTATTATCATGTTATAAAATAGTCTTTAATAACTGCTTTATTAAAGATTTTAAAGAAAAGCAAACAAACATAAAAATAAAATGCCAAGAGCACTTTAAAATGAAATACATGAAAAATTGTAATAAGTTTATATCTCCCATCTTTTCTCCTTCTGATCCAAAGTTCATGTAGTTTTATAAATTTTTCCCAAAACACAAAAATCAATACACATCACTAGACAGTGATATCTCCAGTGGCTTCAATTATTGCAGAAAACTATCCAAACACTTCAGCACTTGAAGTACAATACCCTTCAAAATAAATATGTCCCCAATTAATCTTTACCCCTTATTTTCTAAATTTACATGCAAAAACTCCACAGTCTTGCTATGCCAGAGACTTCACCTTCCATTAGGTATTCTTACCACTGTTATGATTTTAAACCTGTGCTTTTTTTGTTTCTCCTGTCATAAAGCCTCTCTCATCCTTAAACCTATCAAACTTCTTCTTGGCTTGATTTCCTAGACAACCTTCAAAAATATACATACTTCTCTAGGATTCTACATTATTTCCATTTTCATACACTTATCCATAGAAAATGACTCATTCTCTTAGATATACTTTTATACCAGTTTTCCATCCTGCTGTAGTTTTTATAAAACTATAATGAGATATCATATTTAGCATATTTATCTTAGAATTGTGTTATATGCAAAAAATGATAATTGTTTTAGTCGTCTTTGTAATTCTAGTGCCTAGTACACTCCCTGGAACAGAGAAGGTACTCATTAAATAACAGTTTCGGCTTCAAAAATGGATTTCACAAAAGGTAATAATTGTAATGATTGAATATTGCCAAAAAGTTTCTCTAATTAAAAAAATTAAAGGTCAATTCAACCAATATTTATAATATATTATAATAATCAAACATATATTTTATGGAATAATTATAATGAATTTAGTTATATATTTTGAGAATCTTGATATACACTATCATTAACTGTTATGTGTGGATGAAAGGCTTTCTAAAATTGTATTTATAGACCATATATAGTCAAAACTAAATGCTTTAATTATTTTATATGTATGTGCTGTTAAAAGACTTTTAAAATGCATTTTGAATTTAATTTCTAAAATAGATAACTACTATCTCTGTTTTATCAATTTGCCTAGAAAAGTTTCTTAATAGATTTTACAAAGGCAAACTTTGTAAAACTATCAAGAATAGGCACCTGAAGTCTGAATAAGTGCAGCTTCCCTAAATTATGAAATATTGTTGTAGTGACTTATTGGAGTCGCCAATACACATATTAGATAGAATGTAGAAACATTGAAAAATGCACATACTAAGATAGAGTGTACAAATATTGAAAAGATACAGATGTGTCTTAGATACTCAAAGAAAGAAAAAATACAGATTTTATTTCATCTTGTGAACGCAAATACTCCTAGAGTTGAATGACATAAAATCACTCAGGGCTAAATATTTTTAATGCTGAAAAGTTCTATGACTAAGTTGACTAACCCTTGTTTTCGTCTTACCGTTAACTGAGAAACATGTTGGCATGATTATTATTTTAACTTATGACCTAGTTCTTAGCACAGGGCATGTTACAGTAGATTTTCAAAAAAGTTTACTGATGACATTTTAGCCAATCATATATTTTCTTTTTATTTTAGCCACTTGTGGTTAATAGCTTTCAATTCCAAATGCAACTTTAACTGCTAAATAAGTTTCAGCATCAATACAGAGTGTAAAGTTGCTAGAGAAAATAATTCAGCATCTTCATAATCACAAAAAGACAAATAGATGCTTAAATGCAGTGACCAGACAAAGTGAAAATGGAATAGTTTAGTCCCTTCCTGCCTTTCACGCATACCAGATATATTTTCCAAATCTACTAGCAACTGACCTAGACTAATAGGTAGCTGGTTTTTGGATAAAGTTTAATTTTCTTTCCTTTCCAATTTTCTGAATGAGTATGAATACATTACTTTATGTTTTTGTCTATATCTAGGAATTAAAAAAACCCTCTTTTTTATTGCTATGATAAAGTGAAGATTATTGTATTGCAGTGTAGGACTTTCAAGTGCTTATATATGAAAACAGCATGAAGGAATCCATACCCAAACTGATTAGCTTCTCCTATGCAGCGTAAATAGGTATCTGAGTTTGTTCAAAAGGCTAAATGTAGAATAAGAGATAAAAGTGAAGTGACAAAGTGGAAGATGAGCTGCAAGCAACAACCTTTAAAAATATATTTAAATGAATGCCTCCACAACTGAAAAAATAAAAATAAAACACAGTATCAAGTATCCTAGGAAAACTGAGAAACCAGCCTCCCTCTCCAAATCCTGTTTTGTGGGGAAAAAAGCAAGTATCTAGTAAAGTTAGACAGGGCCAACCTGTCCTACACATTAGTATTTAATGTAATTTGAGAAGCTCAATGTCAAGAATGGTGAAAGGTCTGACATTTTAGGCTACTTGCAAGCTAAAAACTCTCAATTTAATAAATACTGTCTGTGATCATTAATTTTATGTCAACTTGATTGAGCTAAGAGATGCCCAAATTACTGGTAAAACATGATTTTGGGGTGTGTCTGTGAGGGTGTTTTGGAAGAGATTAGTATTTGAATCAGTAAACTCAGTAAAGACTATCACCCTCATCAATGTGGTGGGCATCATTCACTCTATTTGTTCTAGTAGGTAATTAGGCAGACATGAGCAGAGTAGGAGAGGCCCCGACCTCCACCAACCAGGAATGTCAGGTGACAATCAGGTGATGGTCAGGTGGTTGTTAACTGTCTCTCTAAAATAAAAATTGGTCGCAGGTAGGGCCAGGAAAAGGTAGTCTTTCTACAGACAGTAAAACACTGAAACTGGTGTGATCAGTAGCTTCCTGATAAGATCTCAGGAGTTGCGTGAGTGGACTTGAGCATGTACACTAAGAGGCAAAATAGCGGAGTTTACTGTTACATGACCTATTAGGGACACTCAGCTGCTAAGTGGGGAAGGCCTCAACTGAGTATGCATACGACTCCAGTAAACACACTGGGCATGCTCACTTCCCAAGGGCTGGCAGGCCACTGTGCATTTGGACAGCTCACCCCAAGGATAAAATCCGAGAAGAGATGCAAGACCCCAAAAGTATGCCAGCATATAAAACTCCAGGTCTGAAGGTCAAACTGTGCACTTGTCTTTCTAGTCACCCGCTTGGCCTCTTCCCAGTGTACTTGCCTTCCTTTTGTTCCTACCTTAAAGCTTTTTAATAAACTATCACTCCTGCTCTAATAACTTGCCTCAGTCTGTACTTCTGCCTTCTGCCCCTCAGTCAAATTGTTTCTTCTGAGGAGGCAAGAATTGAGGTTGCTGACGACCCATATGGATTCACCACCACTAACATATTTTGGTGCCATGTGACTCAGATAACTTCCACCACTAACATACTTTGCTGCGTGACTTGGATACATTCCCTAGTGGTAAGAGATATCTATGCCTCACCTTTGGATAAATTTACTCTTTCTTCTTCAGCTAGGACATCCGTCTTCTTGTCTCTTGGACATTGGTGCTCCTGGTTCTTGGGCCTTTGGACTTAGACTGGGTCTCACAACATTGGCTCCCCTAGTCTTCAGGCATTTGGGCTTATATTAGAACTACACCACTGGCTTTCCTAGGCCTTCAGTTTGCAAACCTCTCAGCCTCCATAATCATGTGAGCCAGTCCCTCATAATGCATCTCTTTCTATATATCTATAGATATCCTATTGGCTCTGTTTCTCTGGAGAACCCTAACTATACGTTGGCAAAAGACAGGTTCCTGAGTCATGGGCAAATGTGTATTTCTCTCAAACAGTAAGCAGTGTATGTATTAGCATATTTGGCATCTATTATTTGAGTCCAAATCTTGAGGTGATAGAGAAAGAGACAGGTGACACCTGCATATGCAGTGGATGGTGTTATAGGAGAGGAACTCTGCACTTAAGGAACCTGAATCTTATCCTGAATAGTAAGCCCTACTTGCCCTTTGTTCCAGAGAGAGGTACCATTTATCTTTGTCTTCCAAGACATTTTGCTACAAAAATAGCCCTGAAAAGAAATTCTGGAACAAAGACATTCAGTCCTTCGTGTAAGACATCCAGAAGCACATGAGCCCCATGAAGAATTGTCTACCAATCTTTGGTATTAATAATTGACATATATATATTCATAGCATATTTAATGAATATATATGGAACTGTTTGACATTGAACTCTTACATATTACAACCTTTTAAAAATGTTGGCCGGGTGTAGTGGTTCACATCTGTAATCCCAGCATTTTGGGAGGCCGAGGCAGGTGGATCACCTGAAGTCAGGAATTTGAGATCAGCATGGCCAACACAGTGAAACCCCATCTCTACTAAAAATGCAAAAATTAGCTAGGCGTGCTGGTGCTTGCCTGTAATGCCAGCCTGCCAGCCACTTGGGAGGCTGAGGCAGGAGAATCGCTTGAACCCAGGAGTCGGAGGTTGCAGTGAGCTGAGATTGCACCACTGAGCTCCAGCCAGGGCGACAGAGCGAGACTCTGTCTCAAAAAAAAAAAAAGTTATCATACCGTATTCAACTTTTGTTAAAATACTATATTTCTTTTAATATTTATCTTGTTATATAGAAGGAACCAGTTTTTCCCAATTCCATGTCTGTATCATTTATTCACCTTTTTTCTTCCTCTTGTTATTAAAGAACATGAAATTCCTCCTGCTAAATAATATCCCAGATTTATTTATTTAGATCTGTTTTATTTTGCTTCTTGTTTCAAAAGTGTTAACTTTAAGGTCATCTGAACCCAGATTATTTCAATTTACAAATGAGAAAACTAAAACGAGAAATTCCTTCCCTAAGTCACTAATTTCTCATATTCTGAGCCACCATTGTAAATAAATATTCTAAAAGTTTAAAAAATGTTAGAATATATGCTCTTTAAAGCCTAAGGAAGAGAGATAAAATAAGGACAATGAAATTCTGTAAAAAATACCACATACGTATTTAACTCATATATTGTATTTATATAATTAAACACAAAACACATACACAGAGAAATATATGTACAAATTTATACATCTGGTAGAGTGGTTATGTATTTGGGTTCTGGAGTCAGATTACCCATGTTCATACCCGGGCTCTGCCACTCAGAGCAGAGGAAGCTCAGTTTCCTCCCATATAGTAATAGAAATAGTAGCAGTGATATATACCCATCATAGGATTGCTGTGAAAGTACATTAAATTAAATTACTGGTTTTTTTATTCCATTACTTAGACCTAGTAAGTGCACAATAAATTCTAGGTATTATTATAATGCAGAGTGATGTAGAAAAGAACTAGGTTTCCCGTCACCAATGGGTAGGTAGCACAGCCTTTCTTAATATCAGTATCTGTGTAAAATTGGTATTGCAGTAACTTGATTTTTGTGCTTAATCTAACAGCAATATTCTGTTGTTCTGTGGCTATAATTACATTTTATGTTTGCTCTAAAATGTCAGCAATATAGTGGCATTCAATCATGAACAAATATAAAAATTATTATTGTAATTTTATTATTATTGTGATTGCTATTATTCAGACAACTGTAATTATTACACACACAACTGTGTGATTGCTAGTGCTTATTTAGCTTTTTCTCACAACTAGGCCGTGGTGTTTCACAATCATCTTATTTCTTCCTCAGGAAAATTATTAAGTACTGTTATTATTTCTGCTTTACAAATGAGAAAACTGAAGCTTGGATAGCTTAATGAATTGACTAAGGTCACATAACTGGAAAGTGCAAAGAATGAAGCCTGAAGAGTGAAGGAACAGGAATGCAATCAAAGAAAAATTAAGATAATTTGGATGATGGGCATGAATTTAAAATCATGTTATTTATAGACCCTTGATCATAAATTTATGAACAAAATTTTAAGTTTTCAAAGACAAGGACCATTTATTTTGTTCCCCAGTTTTCTTTAGAACTTGTGTAAAAAGAATGTTATTGTAATGTTCTCAATAACAACATATTGGCTGAATCAATGAGCTAATCAGCCTATTCTCCTAAGCATATCTCAATAATATATTTGTTTCTTTAGGTGAGATATAAGCAGTCTCAAGTCATAAAGAGGCAGTATTTTTTTCTTTGTATCACTGAGTAAATATATAATAGCTACTCAGAATCTGGTATGTTGGAGGCAAAGGACACCTCAAGATCCCAGTGTATTGGTTTTGGAACCCAGAATAGTATGTGGATTTCTAGTTGAAACTGTTATTTTTTTAAAGGAAATTTTGGCATAGTGATCATTGACTTCCCATGTGAACATCAAGTGGTTGGCAAAAGATAGGCAAAATGAGATCAGCACTTAGTTCAGGAGATGGGTAGGCATTTGTCTTTACTAAAGACATACCATGTTTTGATAACATGTGGCAGGTAGAATGTCAACATCTCCCAGAGTTAAAAATCTAGCAATTATAGGTGATCTCTACCTTGGATAGAGGGATTTTTTTTATTATTATACTTTAAGTTTTAGGGTACTTGTGCACAACATGCAGGCTAGTTACGTATGTATACATGTGCCATGTTGGTGTGCTGCACCCATTAACGTGTCATCTAACATTAGGTATATCTCCTAATGCTATCCCTCCCCCCTCCCCCGACCCCACAACAGGCCCCGGTGTGTGATGTTCCCCTTCCTGTGTCCATGTGTTCTCATTGTTCAATTCCCACCTGTGAGTGAGAACATGCGATGTTTGGTTTTTTGTCCTTGCGATAGTTTGCTGAGAATGTTGGATTTTTTTTTTTTATTTGAAGTGATTAATTCTAAACAGTCTCAAAACCTCAATTACATGTAACTTTTTTTGTTGTTGTTGTTCCTCAAGCTTATAAAAAAAAAACACAAGTACTACTAAAATTAAAGGTTCACGAATCAGGAGTAGGTCATGTTGACATAATATAATTTTCCTTCCAGCTTTTAACATGAAGCTTTTGAAATGATGCCTATGCTTTCCAAATGACAGAAACAATGTAGAATATTATCAATATGGGGCTGACATGCAGATAGTTAAATAACACAGACCTTCACCTGTTTAACCAAGAGCATATCATGCCAAAACATGAACTCTTGTGTTGTTTTGTTTACACTGTTGTTACAATCTCTTCCAATGCTTCGTAAGGCAAGAGTAAAATTAGAGTCAAAAATTTCATTTTGATATTATCAGAAAATATAGGATGCTCATATTTTAATAAAAATATTAACCACTGCTTGCTCAGAATGTAATTTGTGTCTGATAATATGCTAATAATTTTTCATACCTCATTTCTATATTATATTACTTGAGTGACAAACTGACCTTCTGAAAGAGTAAATAACAAGCCAAGGTCACACCGTTGGCAAGAGGCTGTGCCTTTAAGTTCTGTCTGACTCCAAAGTCTGTGCTCAGACAGTATCATGTGGCTTTCTGCAAATTCATATTCATTTCAATAAACACTACTGCAAAAGGGGTTATGTACCTGGGGAAGAATTTTCTAAATAGTATTTGTTAATCTGATACAGCATGAAAATAATTTCTTACAGCCAGCCTTTACAAACTCTTGTACACATTTGATTCAGTAGAAATGTTAGAAGTCATTCCTAAAACATGAAAAGTTGTAAAAGTAAATAAATATAAAAGGTGCTAGAAATATCTTTCTTCTAAAGTTACTTTAGATAAATTTAAGAAAAGACTAATCTCATTATTTATTAATTGTTTGTTAATAGGTCTTAAAAAATAAGCAAACTGGAAGTTAAATGTTACATATAATTCATGAACAGAAGCCCCTGATGCTCTATTTGTGTATGGATGCAAGGGAACAATTCTAAATATCAAAATTATATATATGTATATATATATAATCTAATTATTGTTAATCTGTGTTATGTATATTTTTGTCATTTCAACATTTGTGAGTTTTATTATTGTATATTTTGTATTTATGTATAAAATTATATATATTTTTTGATCCAAGGCCCTACGTATTTTAAATGTAAAGTCTTATGGTTCTAAAACTGTATTTAAATAAAAAATACAGAAGTCAGAATATTTCAAATAAAACATGCAACTTTACACCCTCTGATTTTCTTTTTCTTTCTTTCTTTCTTTTTTTTTTTTTGAGAGGGAGTCTCGCTCTGTTGCCCAGGCTGGAGTGCAGTGGTGCGATCTTGGCTCACTGCAATCTCCTCCTCCAGATTCAAGTGATTCTCCTGCCTCAGCATCCCGAGTAGCTGGGATTACAGGCACCCACCACCATGCGTGGCTAATTTTTTGTATTTTTTTTAATAGAGATGGGGTTTCACCATGTTGGCCAGGTTGGTCTCAAACTCCTGACCTCAGGATCTGCCTGCCTTGGCCTCCCAAAATGCTAGGATTACAGGCATGAGCCACCACACCCAGCCTTTCCTCTTGATTTTCAATAAATGGGAGGTAAGAAGCCAAAGGTGAAACAATTAATGACTTTGGGAGTGGCTTAATTTCTGGCCATTGTAAGTTTCAGTTAAGAATGAAATTTGTTTCTTCCTACTGTGAAAATGTATTCATATGAAACAATTTTTGTTTTACTCCACAATGAAAGGAAAATATAAGAATAGTCTACTTTGGGAGGCTGAGGTGGACAGTTCACTTGAGCCCAGGAATCTGAGACCAGCCTGGGTAGCATGGCAAAACCCTGTCTCTATAAAAAATACAAAAATTAGCTGGGCATGGTGGCATTTGCTTGTAGTCCCAGCTACTCTGGAGGCTGAGGAGCACTTGAACTAGGGAGGTGGAGGTTGCAGTGAACCAAGATCATGCCACTGCACTCCAGCCTGGGAAAAAGAGCGACATCCTGTCTCAAAAAAAAAATAGTCTTACTGCTGTGCCTAAAAATTCAATTCACCAATGTTTTGCTACTTTAAAATAGGTATGTGAATAGGATATAACACATAAATACCTTTTCATAAAAATATTGTCATATTTTAATTTTTATACCAAAAATATAAAATGCATAATGTTGCAATATATTTTGACACTTTTTTCTAATTAAATGTCAATTGATTTAGTTTTTATATTTCTGAAGTTATAAAGTTTACTAAAAGTTTATTTTTAATATCAACTAATTTATCAGAGACGTATCAATTACTGTATAATTCTCTCCTGATGGTATTCTCTGTATCTATTAGTATTTGAAAATGATCCAGGTGGCAATAATCCTGGGGAAACCTTCTGTGTTAGGTAGAATTCTCCCTTTCCCTTGAGTGTGGGTGGGCCCAGTGAAAATGATGGGATATCATGCCCATGATTAGTTTATATGGCAAAGATGAAGAGATTTTGAAGATGTAATTGAGATGCTTAGACAGATGGCTTTAAGTTAATCAAAAGAGGGATTATCCTTACCTGATCAGGTGAGCCCACTGAAAGAGAGTCTAGAGATCAGGGACAGAAAAATAGATTCAAAATGGCAGAGTTGCTTTCCTATTGGTCTTGAAGAAGTAAACTGCCAAGCTTACTTCTAGAGTGTAACTTGTAGTGTAACTTGTACTTACTTGCAGAGTGGGCCACGAGACAGGGAACCACGGGAAACCTCTAGCAGTTGAGGGCCTCAGTCCTACAGCTCCGAGGAACTGAATTCTGCCAACAGCCAGTGAGCTTGGAAGAGAATCTCAAGCATTAGCTGAGATTGCAAACCTGGCTGACAACTTGATTTCAGCCTAGTGAAAACCCTGAGCAGAGGACCTAGTTAGCCTAGGCATAGATTCCTAATTCACGGAAACTGAGGGATAATACATTTATACTGACTTTAACCAATAAGTTTGTGATCATTTGTTACACAGCATTAAAAAGATCAATAGAGCTAACTATTATTTTTTTTCTGTTCTTAAACCATTAAGAATTATTGCTATGTTGATTGCGTTATATTAGGGAGAAAGTACAGATAAGCATTCATACTTCCTGTATTGCTATTAAATAGCCACCTTTTCTACCCATCAATACTACTTATTCTTTCTCAGTTCAAGCAGCAAAATTGAATAATCAAAACTTTGTTAACTTCCAATCAAGGCCTGAAGCAGCACAGAAAATAAATAAACAAATAACCATAAATTCAGTGGTTGTAAATCAGTAATACATCTGAGTTCTCTATCCTGCAGATTCAAGTCACAGTCCAATTTTCTTCTAAGAAATTGAACTTGAGTTTTATTTCATTTCCAAATTTTTTAAATTATGAAATATAATATCTAGAAATGCATTAATTTCCAACAATCCCATTTCAACTGGACCAACCAATTTAAATGTCCCATGGGACTGATTATATAGAGATATGTGATAAGCAAATGTGATAAGCAAAATATATGATGAAAATATGACTTATTTGCTGTCCTGAGAAAATTCTCTTGTCCTTTCAGTTTTTCCAATTATAGTATCTGTGACTTAGTCAACAGCATAATGAGGACTATTTCATTTATGATGATTTTCATGTTCCAAGGCAACTTCCAAAGTATTTTTAAATTATGCAACAGGATGTGTTTCTGAAAAGATTTCTTTTGTATGGTTGAATTTTATAAATCAAGTATTATTTCTTCATTGCTTTTCTAGAAGTGCATTTCCAAAGGGAAAAATGGCTATAAAATAATCGTACACTCTGTAAAGTTTAGATAGTATTCCTTTAAAACTATGTCTTAATTTTAATATAAATCAAAAATTTGAATGCAACTTTAAAATGACATTAGGTAAGTAGAATGTAATATGTAAATCATCATTTCAAAGTCATATTAAATTATCTAACATTAAAATTGAATCTCTGACAGAATCAACAAAATTAATTTAGCCAAGTGTAATTATAGCTCTATATATTAAATTATTTAACCTGAGAAAAAGTCCCTAGCCTAGGTCAGGCCCTCTGTTACAAATTCTCAAGCATCTTCCTCTATTTTCACAATTGGTTAATTGTATTTTAATGACTTTAATGCTTACCTCCTGATATAGTTTGCCTCTGTGTCCCCACCCAAATCTCATCTCCAATTGTAATCCCTACATGTTGAGGGGAGGAACCTGGCGGGAGGTGATTGGATTATGGGGGCTGCTTCCCACATGGTATTCTTGTGATAGTGAGTTCTCCTGAGAGCTGATAGTTTTAAAGTGTGGCACTTCCTTGCTCTTGCTCTCTCTCCTGCTGCCTTGTGAAAACGGTGCTTTCTTCTCCTTCACCTTCCTCCATAACTGTGAGTTTCCTGAGACTTCCCCAGCTATGCAGAACTGTGATTCAATTAAACCTCTTTTCTTTATAAATTACCCAGTCTCAGATAAAATCTTTATAGCAGTGTGAGAACAGACTAACACAGCTCCTCAATTCCCCACCACAAGCCCATGAGCTCACTAGGGAAAAACTGTATCTCTTATTCACCACATGATTTTCACTGGGATGACTAACACAGTGTGTAGTCCCACAGAAATACTTACTGGGATGACTATCTGACCAAAGGAAGGATAAAGGGAATGAGGGAAGAGAAGAAGAGACAAAGGGAGCCAGGGAGGCAAAGGCTGCAGAATAGGGAAGAAAGTCTGGAAGGTAAGGGAGTCAGGAAGGCAAGGAAGCAAGAGGGAGGAAAGATGATAGGAAAGAAGGAAGGGAAGAAAGGGGAGGAGGGAAGAAAGGGGAGGGAGGAAGGAAGGAGGGGAGGAAGGCAGGCAGGCAGGCAGGCAGGCTATTATTATGAATTTAAAGAACAATCTGTTTCCCTACAGTAATAAAATTATACCTACCTTTTAATAAATACCTACTAAGAGAGATTTATCTCTTCAAGATACCCATGATATACATTTTACATATTTACATAGTGTGTAATTAAAAATATATTCAAGAAATTCTAATATACAAATAGTTCTTGGGGACTATTATTAAAAAATTGGTGACAATTTTTTTCTGTAAAATGAGGATATTAATAATACTTATCTCATTGGATTTTGTGAGAATTAAAGGAATATAGAAAAGAACTTAGAATGATGCCTGGAACACAGTAAATGCTCAATAAATACTATTATTACTGTTTTGACTGTGCTACTACTACAAATTACTATTAAAGTGAAATAAAAAATTTTTGTCCAGCATTGTATGCCTGTGTTAAAAAGTCTCGTGTACTCCGTAAGTATATATCTATATATAGTATATAGATATATATCTATTATGTACCCATAAACATTAAAAATGAAAAAAAAATTTTTTTGCTTAAAGACTCACTCAAAGTGGCAGCACCTGAATTTGAATACAAGTAAGTCTGCCCCAAAGCCCACATTCATTTTATTACAATAAAATGTGACTGCTCTGATGTTGTAATGCTTCAAATTCTAACTGGCCATGTTCATAATATTATTTCTATAATTGACATGTATATTTAAGACATTTAAATATCAAATCCAGACTATTTGGAGACTATCTCTGCTCCCAGTCATTCTGTGCTGTGGCCATTCTCTAATAGCCAAGGATACTGAATGACATACAGTCAATATATGACTATAAAAAGAGAATGACGAGTTCCATTACTAACTTCTTCATATGGAAACATTTCTTTCATTTTCACCTGCATAAATATTTCACAAACAGCAAAGGATTTGGAGAAGGGATTCTTCTTTGCTGAAGCACTCTGTGTTCAAACTTCTAAAACATAAAGACTTGAAGGTTTTTCTTTTCTATATAACTACTTCAAAAGTTCACAATTTAAACCCATATAACTATTTTCTCCAGTGACTATTGATTAGAGCTAATATTAATTGAAATTTTGTATTTTAGCTTTTTCTACATAAGCTCTTAGATTACCTTATGATATCCTGGTTTGGTTTTACATTATTCCAAGTCAGTCTGCCCTGAGTTAAAGCTGGTTACTTTTCTAACATCAGTGAATTGACAGATCCTCCCCAGAAGGTCACAGTCTTCTATAGGACCCAGATGAAACAATTGCTAGCGTTTCTGCATGTAGTCATAGAGTCTGCTTAAATAAAAATGAAAATTAGATTCTCTCTAGCACCAAAACTAAAATATTCAGTTATTTTCCATAACATTGCTTTTTATTCCACTTTTTTTTCTTCTGAGATAGTAGTTAGAATAAAATATCCTGTAATAAGCAGCATTTACACCCTATAAACCATACCCAGTCCTGCCCTTCTTTTGGGTTCATCAAATATGATGTATAATCTAAGTTTTGTTCACATGATATTTTCTGATTTTAAAAAGTAGTATAAACTTAATTAGTACACTTTATATCAGCCTAAATGCATAATATTGAAATATTGCTTTTTATACTCTACTTATTTGATGTGTTATGGGGTTAAAAATTATAGTACAAAATTTAACTATTGTCTGAAAAAGGGATAACTTTTTAAGAACTTGTACAATAAATCAAGATTAACTGAACTGTGAATTGAGATAAGTCCCTTTAAACTAGAATAATAGCAAAATCTACAACATACAAAATAAAATCTGCCTAGAAAATAAAGATGATCAGTATCTACCTTATTGTGGCTTTTCTTACTCTGTGTTGTAGTACTTGCTTACAACTCCATGTTGGGTTGATCTCCTTCTAGGAGCTCCTTCTCAGTGCCTGAAAGCCTTCTCACAGTTCTCTGAGGCTGCAGTTTCTAAATGCTAATTCTCTTCTGAGACAACGAATGCCAAACTATGGTATGAAGTTAGTTGCTTTGGTGTCAAAACCTTTTAATCACTTGAATTTCACATTTAGTAACTTACCTGTTTCCAAAAGCTCTACCTCCAGTCGCTGAGTGAATTGATGTGCAGCCAGTCTTCAGTTTCTTACTGGAAGTGCCCGTTCTGTCACTGTTTCACCTCCAGCATGATTCTGGGGTCCCTTGTAACCACTTAGCACTTAGGACTTAGCACTTGCCCTTGAATAGTAACATTTATATTTGAGTAATTATTTGCTGATATTCTTTCAAACATCTCTAGAATTTTGAATTTTATTCTTTTCTTTAGAAGGATCACGCCTTGTTTCTTTAATTTTCTCAAGACATAAACAATACCAAAATGATACAATAATCTCTAGGTAATCATAGTTTATTAATTTCTTGACACTGTCACATACATTTCTCAGAATTCTATAGTGATCCTTTTATCTGTCTTGCATTTTCTCTTTTTGAGATTCCCCTCTATTTAGCAAGAACTTAGTTCGGTTGCCAAGGCTATCATAATCATATTCATCTTATTAATTCTTCTTCACTTGTTAGTGTTTCCATAAAAATCTTGATGAGCATATGCATGTATCCACAGTCACGCACCCACAGATGTGAAAGCTGCAATTAATGAGTTTTTTCCTATCTCCTCAGGAAAATGATCAACCATATTTTATTAAATATAACCTTATGGGCCTTCTATTTGGATATTTTTAGTGGTTATAAGTATCAGCTATTTCTCAACCCTCTTTACCCCATGCTTAATCCTAACACTGGTTCATCCCTGGTTCTGACCTCTTTTGGTCAGATGAGGGTGCTGATTTCCAGGAAACTGAGGGGTCTTTTAGGTTAATGTATACACTTAGCATTATCTCCTTTGTAAGCTATTTGAAAACAACGTGCACATTGTTTTGGATCGTTTATTCTGTACAAGGCATGGCAGTAGGCACTGTATATAATGACTTATCTGGATCATGAATATTTCCTCAAAACCCTCATGACTAAATCCTGTTTTATTAGCTCTGACTTTCCCCTGTCCATCTGGGAAAGATGAACAATGGAAGACGCAAACAATCTCTAGCACTCTGCCTTGCGTTCATTTTTTCATCAGGACATGCTTTGATGCAGAGAGGTAATCATTCTCTCAGTTACCTGCACTGTCACAAAGGAAAAGCATTCTTCAAACCACTCGTATCACTGATGCAGAAAGAAATCACTGGATTTCCACCCATGTTAAGACACTATACAGATACTATGCAGTTACTTCTGATGGGAGCACAATTCTGCCATTCCACATGAAACAAAAATGTATTTAGTAACTTATTAATGGATTTACTAATTTGCTGCAGAATTAGATTTGAGTGCCCTGAAGTAACAACCTGAACTAAAGAGGCAAGGTCACAATTTGTATTAAACTTTCTTGAAAGTGACAGCCAATAATTTTTTAAATAAATGAATGAATGAACAAATAAAAATAACTAGAAAATAAATATATCAGATGAGGGTGAGTGAGTTATGGAGAATTTAAACAAAGTTATGTGACAGGGTTGTGACTTCTGATTGTGTGGGAAGGGAAACCTTTCTGTGGGAGTGATATTTTACCTGGAATCTGAAGAATGAGAATCAGCCAGACTTTAAGGTTTCGTGACAGATCAATCTAAGCACAGGGCAGAGCTGCTGCAAAGGTCCTGAGGTAAAGTGAGCTTATTATCTCCTAGGAATAAAAAGAAAGTCAGTGTGTCCAAAGCCTAATGGTGGAGACAGGAAAATATGCAGTATAAGTTTGGAGCATGTGAGGAGTCATATGGTGCTCCCCCATAAACGATATGTCCATGTCTAAAGCCTTGAAATCTGAGAATATTACTTTATTGGGAAAAAGGATCTTTGCAGATACAAAGAATGAATGTCGAGATGAGATCATCCTGGATTATTCAGGTAGATTCTAAATCTAATGACAAGTATCCTTATAAAAGGCAGAAGAGGAGAAGACACAAACAAGGAAAGAGAAGACACAAACAAGAAAAGAGAAAACACACACAGAAAAGGAGAAGATAAAAGAAAACAGAGGCAGAGATTGAAAAGAGCTAGCCATAAGCCAAGGAGACCAAGGAATGTGAAGCAACTAAGATTTATCCCCTAGAGTCAGAGGGAGTGAGAACCTGCCATCAGGTTAATTTCAGAGTTCTGGCCTCCAGAACTGCTAGAGGAAAGTTTGTTATTTTAATCCACCTAGCTTGGGGTAATTTGTTGTGGCAGCTTTAGGAAACTAATACAGAGAGATAAGCAGAGGGCTGATCATTTGGAACATTGAAAGCAAGTATAAGAAGTTTGAAATTTTATCTACAAAGAACAACTTGGGGGCTTATGGGGGGATGGAGAATGAGGGGCTTAGTGTTAGAGGAACAAGATGGTCTGATTTTCCTGGAGGCAGATCAGTAATGGTTATCAGATTATGGTCAGGTACAATACACCTTTGGGCTGAATCTTGGATTCTCTCATATTAGCTATTGGCTATGTGACAAAGGATGATGTCTCTCAAGCATCTACACCTTAGTTTTCTCAAGTTAATGTGGATAATAATAATGCCCTAATTCATAGATTTGCTGTGAGAATTCAATGAGTTTAAAATTTAAAGTACTCTGGAACAGTTTGGCCCTTAATAAGTACTTAAAAAGCATTAGATATTGCATTTTGGAAAGTTTGGAAAATAGATTTTAAGAGGGCAAAAGGTGAGTCAGGGAGAAAACAGGGATGTAGAAGTCCCAATCAAGAGACTGGTTAAAGGTGGTCATCTGAGAAGTAAATGGATTTGAGAAATATTTTGAAAATAGAATCTACTCTACTTGGATCTGGGTGGTAAGGGGAAGAGAAATGAAGGAAGATGTGTAGCTTTTCAGTTTGAGTAACTCAGGACCTTGTAATATCATGAACTAATAAGGATAAGATACAGGGCTCTAAAAGGCACAGACTTTTTATAGGGAGAGTTCTGTTTTGAATATATTAAGTTTCAATGCCTCTTAAATGTTGAAGCCAAGAAGGCAATTATATAGATGATTGTGGGTGTAGAGAGATTTTTTTTTTTTTTTTTTTAGTTTGGAGCTTAAGGCTAGAGATATAGATTTTCAAATCCTTACTCTACTGATGGTGTTTAAACTGTGGACCTGAATTGGATCACCTATACAGAATGTTTAAAAATTTCAATGAATCTATTATTTAAAAATAAGAAGAAAAGGGGAAAACAATGGTAATAAGCTCAAAATTTATCATTTTCTAATAATTTATAACACTTAACTATTATTTATGCTGTATTATTCCACTCAGTTTCCTAAAACAGATCACCATAAATGGTATGACTTAAACAATAGACATTTCTTTCTCACCATTTTCAAAATTGGGAAGTTCAAGATCAAGGTGTCACGTTCTTGCTGTGTCCTCACATCGCAGAGAGAGAGCATGTGAGCACTCTGTCTATAAGAACATGAATATTCCATTGGGAGGGTCCTACCCTCATGCCCTCATCTAAACCTAATTACCTCTTAAAGGCCTGTCTCCAAATATTATCACATTAAGGGGTATGGCTTCAATATATGAATTTGGAGGTACACAAACATCCAGTCTGTCACATTTGCCCTTGTGGTCATCTACATCTATCGTTTCTGTATGGTGGGAAGATATAATGGTGTGCTACTGCACATTTCTTCCCAACTCTGTATTCAAAGACAGTGCACCAGTAACTTGAAATAGCCATCATTAGATAATTATAACATGGACATTGGAAAATGCTATAAACCAGCCTCCTTCCCTTCAAACCCCTGGAAAACTGGTGAGTTAACATTTGCTAGCAAACCATACCACTGAGTCTGGGGAGGTTTCGTTTGTTTGTTTTTAGGATTAAAAAATACTTTTTATTTATATGCCGATACTTGTAGAATAAGACTTTTCACATCACTGGAATAATTATATTTCTTAACAGTGTATTTATGTTAAGATACAACATAAGTTAATTCTCTGAGGATAAGATCTTTGAGAGGAAAAATCCATGGAAGTGAGGATTATTGCAAAAGCAGTAAAGCAGAGTTTTTAAAAAGGAAAGAGGGAATAGGATCCAGAACCCAAGAGAAAAAAATGGCCTGAGATAGATAAGAGTCATCTGTAATGACATCAGAAAATACCAATGCCAGTAGTTGTGTGTGCTGATGTGGGAGATGATGAGGACATTGCTTCTTTTCCTGCCAGAAGGAGAAGGAGAAGGCATCCTGCCAAGCCTGTGTCTGAGAAAGAAGTCTCATTTCACCCAGTTGCAACTACCACATCTGCCTCTAACTGGAATGAACACAGCCAACAACTTGCCAACCATTTTCTCTTATTTCACTGGGTCTGCAAAGATAAAACTATAAAAATTAAAAACTTAATTTCCAATTGTTTATGAAAGACCTATAAGTCTTAGAAATGAAATTCTAACCAACTGTATTTACCTGTACTACTTGCTTATACAAATTAACCTCTGGAATTATATACAAATCACAAGTCTCACAAATCCTTGAAATATCCGTAAGAAATAAACCCATGGTAAATTTCTAGAGTTTACATAAATCTCAAAATGCCTTCATTAGCTTATGGGTGGAATGTTTAGCCCTCAGTGCAGTCAACACTAAGATGTTCCATTAGTGTGTAGAGCACTTGATAAAATATTCTATTTCTAGTACCTAAATATAAAAATTAGAACTTGTTATCTCTAAAATAGAGCAATCTTCAGCCACTGTGTGGTCACTGAGAGGATACGTAATTTCTGAGATAATAAACCTCCAAATTCCTTAGAGTTTTAGCCTCATAACTATAACCAATTGTCAGTTGCCAATAACTCAATTGAGCTGAATATCTAGGGTAGCCGAAAAGCTTTTCTATTTCATTAAATTGCTTCCTCTTGCTGATGATTGAGACCTAACTTGTGTGTTGTGGTTTTATGATTGTGATATAAATTGCTACCAGGAAATATTCTGATGTTTCCAGATTGCACAGAAGATAATCAACATAGTCTGAACTGATTTTAAACTACTGGACTAGGGTAAATCTTTTCACATCACTAGAAAAATTTCATTTCTTTCTGGTTTAATACTGGGAAGAAAAATATCTCAGTTCTCTGAGGAGAAAGTTTTTTTAAGTGATCCTGTATCACAGATATTGTGACACAAGCCTCTAAGGGAGCAACTCATAAATTAAATAAGGTATTTCCAGTAGATAAGTTATGTTATTTGACTGAGTCTCATCCAGGTTAGCTGAAGAGGGAGAGATTACTATAGAGATTTATATGGAGCAAAAATGGAGGCAGAATCTCACAGAAATCAAGTACAAAATGGGTAATCAGTTTGAGTCTCATGCAAAAATAGTGTTCTGGGTTTTTTGCTAAGAGTATTTTTTTGTTAAGAACAGGAAATTATAAGCTCTCTTTCTTATGCACTAGCTTTAACCTGGGTCACATTTTCTTTGTATGTCCACGGAGTTCTCCACTCACTACCTACAGTCTTCTTCATCCTTCCATATATCTCTTAAATGTTTCATAGCCTGCTTTATTCATTAGTTACAGAGATTCTTTTATATGCCAGACACTGTGCTTGGTAACAGTAAAAAGATGGATATGGATTTTGCTCTCAGAAAGCATACCTTCTAGTAGAGGAGATGGACAGTAAACCAGGAACTCAAAGCAAGTCAGGTAAGCAGACTGGGAAAAGTACTAGGAAAGAATAAAAAAAGCCTTGGGATTAAGAGGGATCTGGGTGAGGTAAGGCAGGAGATGAGTGGTGGGCATGGACAGTACGTTGGATATAGTAATTCAAAAAAAGTTGGTCATTTAGAGAGTTGGAGAATGACTGATGAGGCCAAGGGTTTGAAGTGAGAAGAGTTTTGGTTAAATAATTGTAGCAATGGCTTAGTCGTAACTTCCAGCTAACAGATTGCCCATACTGGCAAAGTATATTGACCATTCATTCATTTTCCCTTTCATGTTTGGCAATGTGCTAGCTGACCCAGCCAGGGAGGCTCTACCCATTCCACTTAATTCCTTTTTAATTCTGCAATTTGCAGCTCCATAACAGATGAGGTTTTATGAAAGTGGAGACTTGTGTCTGTTTTGTTCACTGTGTATCTCTAATACCTAAAGCAGTGCTGAGCACACAGTAGGAACTCAAGAAACATTTATGGAATGAGGTAATTAATAAACGGGCCGTTGAAAAATAAGCAGATTAGAGGATGGATGAGGATTTTATTGATCTAGGATTTTATCAGTAATGCATTAGAATGTAACTCAAGAGCTTTTCACCTGAGCAAAATTTGCTAGAATTCTTAAAAATGGAAGTACTACTAACCTGTATCTTGCATGTCTTGGGTATGAAGTTTAGATTTGCATTTTCTTAAAGAAAAAAAATTGTTGCTTATATTTATTTAGGTACACATCTATGAAGCCATTAGGAGTCAAAAAAATACTATTAACATATAATCCATATTGATACCTCCCAAACACAAAATACAATGCCTATACTTCACTGACACTTTGTAAGTAGCTGTTGAGTAATTGAATTAATGTGCCTATACATTTTTATTTTCTCTATTTTAACGTTGTCTTGGGAAAAGTTATAATATGTGTATCTTTTCTACTAAAAATATATAGAAACATGAGATTATTTAATATTAAACATACAAAATGTCTTTACCCATAGAATTAGCAATGTTATTCAGTTTTAGAATATTTTTCCCTCAAACCATAACTTTTTAATGTAGCCTTCAAAACTTTTTGCAAAGTCATGTGTTCTATGAAATGAAAAATTAATTATTTTCACAAATGTCACCCACAGAAAAGCAGTCACAGAGCAGATGAACATTAATTAGGTTTTTAATATATTTCTTGCAACATATTTTTTATTCATTAATCAGTTAAAAATAGCTTTTTAATGCTACTCAAACCTTCACACAGTCAAATTGTGGTGGGGATTTATTTTTTTAGATTGAATCAGAAACAGACATCTATTATAAATATATAAAAAAATGATTTCCAACTCCAACAAATCAGATTTTCATTTCACAAGTTGGTATAGGTTTTCTCTACAGAATTTGAATTTTTTCAGGTTGTAAGTTGTAATAATATGAGGCAACTTCCTTCTCATTCTCTGGAGACATTGATGCTAATTGGACTAATGATATCCAGCATCTAATCACAAATAAGTTTGGGACTAAATGTGTATCATTGCAGCCACTGAGGGGGAAAGAGAAGATAGGAGCAAACAACAGCTCCTGTCTGAACAAAACCTTACTTTCTGGATTGTTGAACTGTAAGCACTTTGATACACGCTGCAGCTCCGAAAAGGGCACAACTGCATATTAACAGCTTAACCAGCATCAATCTCTGCCTAAAATGTCAGACTTTCAGCAGATTGTTTTAATAATAATTGAGATGATTTATATTCACTCATTTACTTTACAAACCTCTGTTTGGTGTTCACTCAATGTCAGACCCTGTTCTAGGGGCTAACTGGTTTATTTAGCAAAACAAAACAAAAAGTTGTGTTACATAGAACAGAACATTATGCAGTTATCATGTTTTAATATAAATTACAATAAACATGAATTTTGAATGTTATTATGTTAAATGTTATTGAACCTCAGATGAGAAAATAAATTGAGTCTAATAACGTGCTTACATCATTTGACTAAAGGTATGCTGAGGAACAAATTGCAGAGCAAGTGAGGACCAGTACTCTGGAGATAACCTCAGTTTTCCAGGACAGTCAAAATTTTATATAATTTTATCATTTAAAGTGAAAGCTTTTTCTTTTTTATTTTATTATAAATCTATGTTTCAAAAATAAAATTATGAAAAGATTCACATTTGAAAAATGTTCCTCTTCTATCTTAGTGGGACTGGTAAACAGCGAAAATTGTCAGTCTACTATCCCACCTGGCATTTTCCCTATCCAGAGGCAGCCAGTCTTCCCTGCTTGTCGAATATCTTTCCAGGAATACTTCTGTGAACACATAAGCATGTATCAATATGTAGGGTAATTCTTTTTTATTCTGAAATTTTGTGTTTTCTTTCTTATCGTAGCCTAAAGGAAACAGAAGGCTCTTGCAGAGATATTGATTAGCAGAAAGACACTAGGTTTTAGTGTAACCAGCAGGTTAGAAACATGTGTATTCACTGTTCTGTGATTCAATTTCAGATATACATAATCTATATAATAATAATTCCACTGACTTATATTAGGTCGACAGATAATGATTTCTTCCCTCTCCCTGTCTACAAATTGTTGAACTTACTCTAAACGAAACAAGTTTACCTTTATACCTGGACACAGAAATGATCCCAGGATGCACTAACATCACACCATCATCCAGAAATTTTCTTCTCCTATCTTCAGCATGAGATCTGCTTCTGGTATATAATGTCTCTCTCTCTCTCTCTCTCTCTCCACCCCCACCCCTGCCCCCCCACCCCACTTCCTCCCTCTCTCTTTTTTTTTTTTTTCTCTCTTTCCTTCTTTCTTCTTTTTGTCTTATTCCCTTAATGGTGGATCATATCCTTGGATAACTTCCTAAGAAAGTGCATGAGAGAAGCAGATTTTTTAAAATTCTAAATGTCTCATGTGGTTGGTAGTTTGTATGAGTATAGAAATCTAGGTTGCAAATATTTTCCTTCAAAATGTAAATGGCATTGCTCCTTTATCTTCTTGCTTCTGCTGTGGCTATTAAAAAATTCAGTCATTCTGATTTTGATCCTTTTGTTGTAGATCTTTTTATTTTTCATCTTGGAGAACTTTTCTTTGACTCCAGTAATCGAAAAGTCACAGTAATTTTTGTCTCATCAGGGTCTATTTTTAACTGTTTTGGTATACATGATATTTTGCATTTGCCATTTCTAATGCCCAGGTTGGTACATAAACTCTGCCCATGTTCCTTGCCCCAATGATCCTGGTTCTTGACTAAATGAGATACCAGAGAGAAATCTTAACAGACTGTAGAAGCAGAAAATTTTCCTTGGTCCCCAACCACTGTTCATTTCTATTTCTCATATCATGTGGGATGCTCACAGAGAACACAAAAAGGCAGCAATCAATTCCAGA
This sequence comes from Homo sapiens, assembly GCF_000001405.40. NCBI lineage: Eukaryota > Metazoa > Chordata > Mammalia > Primates > Hominidae > Homo > Homo sapiens. The sequence goes on along the minus strand of NC_000005.10, from coordinate 84,483,261 downwards.
TTGTCTGATGCTACATGCAATTCAACCAATAGTTCATGTTATTATTAATAGCACTATGGCAGATTGCAAAAATGCCCACCAATCTTCACTCTCCCATAGAGGCAAAGTCTGTTTTCCTAACACTTGAATCTGAGCTGGCCAATAGATTGCTATGGAAGTAACCACATATCAGGTCTCAGGCCTTCCTCCTTTCTGTTCCTTTTCAGAACTGTACCATGCCATGTGAATTAAGACAAGAGCTGGCCTCCTGGAGCATGAGACAAGTGTGGCCATTTATTCCCCACCCCTTAAGCCAGACAGCCACTCACCAAACCCCAGAAGTGGAGCCACCTAACTTGCCTAACGCTGTGATGGAAAATAAAACTGATTTTAATATCTAGTTTCCACAATGTATAAAATATTCTTAAACATGGTCTGAGGCAATGTCAAAACCAAGGATATGGCTGTAAGATGCCTTCTTAGAACAACAGAGAGAATTCAGACAGTGTGTATTAGACCCTCTCAACTAGACAAAAGGGTTTCTAAAAATCGTAAGGGTATCCCACAGCAGCCTGGCATACCCAAGCAAAGTAGACAGTACTGTGGGTATGACTTTTGATGAATGGAATTGATATAATCAAATTTATTGAAAGCTATAAAATTTTAAAGGGAATTAGACTAACAAAGGCACTGCTTGCAAGGATGAAACGAGTACTTCAAAATTTAAAAAAAGATCTATGGGTCCCTATGTTTCTTTCAACAGGAATTGGAAGAAACATCCTAAAAGGTATATTTTCCAATAACATTTTCAGAAGTGGCCAAAAGAGTGGAAATAAAAGGACATCCAAGAGGATGGAGATGAAAGGCAAGAAATGCAATGAACCGTGGACTGATTTCTAGGGAGCAGAACTAAACCCTGACCAAGAAAATTCTCTGTTCCTAGAATAAGTAGACCTGGTGGCATTTACCTCACTGGATTTCAGAATTGTCATGAAGCAGTGACTGCAATGTTTCTCGGCTTTCCCCTCAAGATGAGAGTGTTTCTGCAGTTTTTCTGGTTCTGTCTCACAATTATCTGTTGGGATACAGAAGAAAGATAACTTTTCTTTCCTCCGTTTTTCAAAGGTCTCTGGAGCAAAGGGAGTGTATCCAAAGACCTGCATCTAGTGTTGATACAGATTCTCAATTTCATGGCTTTCAGCCTGGTGCCATGATTGGATGACGTTTTGCAAGATCCTGGGATGGATGTACCATATATTGCCTTTGGAGGTATGTAACTAAGTTCAGTTAGCTTTCCAGAAGATGAGAAACACATGACTCCATTGTTCTTGTCACCCCGGAGAACCTCCTAGCTGACGTGTAGACCACAGATGCATGAGGAAGTCAAGCTGAATTCAGAAGAACTTACCAGCAGACTATATCTAAAATTGTTAACCTATAACTTTTATCCGTGTGTTAGGCAAAATATTTTTGTATTAACCTATCATAATGCCCTGGTTGGCACATAAAACCTAGGCTGTGTTTTAATATGTGAGCCCCTTAACCCTGGAAGTCAATCTGATTGTCAGTCTTATGAGATAATAGGGAGGAATATTTTCAGTCAATACAGAACAAGGACCAGTGGTCCCAAATCAGTGTTTTGTTGTTGTTGTTGTTGTTTGTTTGTTGTTGTTGTTTCCTGTTCTCATAGGGTTAGCCTCTAAGATTAGAAAATGGCAGACAATTCTGGACTTTCTGACAGACAATCCCCGACTTTCTGAGCTTCATGAAGCTCAACGAATAGCTAATGTCACCTCTTTTGATATGTATTACCCCCTACCAATATCAGCCACTGTGTGAGAGGTGAAAGCCATTCTGAGTGCTAGCTCTTCATTGTATTGTAACCCTAAAGCTGCTCTTGTGTGTAGGTCCCTGTAATCAGGGGAAATGACTATGCTTGCTTATCTTAATAAAACAGTAAGGAAGAATCCAGGATATAATAAGGAAAACACATCATTTATCTAAACTCTTCTTCTCTGGATTATCGATAAAACCTCAATTTGATGGGGGAATGAAGAGGAGAAAGTGTTTGAAACTCACCTTCTGAACCATTAACAATGCCTGGAAGGGTTACTAAGAATGTAAGACTTAAGGTATTCCAACCTGTGCTTCACCGGAGCTTCTCATCTGATTCATTTGTAAATATTGCTATTGTTTTCTTAGTGGTAAAAGCTATGCTTCAGACTGCGCAAGCATTGTCTTACTTAATCTTCACAGCTACTCCATGAGGTAAGCTATTATTTGCACCATTTTACAAGTGAAGAGTCTCTAGTCTGGGGAACTGAATTACTAAGTCTTGCAGTTAGCAATTGGCAGGGCCCTTACTCAAACACAAACACATATTATGACATAAAAGAGAATGCTATTAAAACTACATTTCACCCCAAATTTATAAGTTGTATTAATTTTTTTTATTAAAAACTGCTAATAAAATGTTTGAGGACCACTGGATTTCCCATTATGGAAACTCTAACACAACTTTCATTCTATGTTGTTTCAAGGGTATGCAAAGTATTTTAAAAACACAATTTTTAGGGAAAGAATTAGAAGTAATGATTCACCCACACTTTATGTTCTAACATTTTTTTTGGTAACATGACAGGTTTTTGATATGTAGAACATACCACCAGATACCAACTCTTCTGGGGAGTGGAATATATATTTCCTGGCATCACTATAGAAAATTAAAGATTGCTGGTTATGTTATTAAGACATAAATATGTCAAAGTGAGATTTCCCAAAATAAAATCTTGAAGCACAGATGCTTCAAGCTTTCTTATAGTAAAATATCTTGAAACATCAATTCTTTTTTTTTTTTTTTTTTTTTTTGAGACGGAGTCTCGCTCTGTTGCCCAGGCTGGAGTGCAGTGGCACCATCCCGGCTCACTGCAAGCTCCACCTCCCAGGTTCACGCCATTCTCCCACCACGCCCGGCTAATTTTTGTATTTTTAGTAGAAACGGGGTTTCACCATGTTAGCCAGGATGGTCTCGATCTCCTGACTTCGTGATCCACCTGCCTTGGCCTCCAGAAATGCTGGGATTACAGGCATTAGTCACCCAGCCCGGCCCAAACATCAGTTCTTTAGAGCATCCTAAAGTGCTGATTTAAAATAAAATAGTGATAGTGATTGTATGCCAATGTAATAAAGTGCTAGGTTAACAGACAAAATTACTGGATATGGAAACACACTTTGTTCTTTATTTAAATGTGAGGTACACCTGTCAATTGTGTATAGAAAAACATGATCTAGCTAGATTTAGTGTTAATGGAAAGCATTTAAAATTTAATTTGCTGAAAATGTTTTAGGAAAAACCCTGGAAGAATGATGAAATAAGGGATAAAGCATATTCTCAGTAGGCATCAGACCATCTTAGATTTCTCATAACAGTTGGGGCTTTGCAACTACCTCATTAAATCACCTGGAGTAACTTACTTGCATTTTGTCATAGTTTTCAAATCTTTGCAATGTAATTGTAAGTTAGATCATGTTTATGAAGATGCTAGGTTAAAATCTAAGAAACTAATTTTTAAATTTGTAGAGAAACAGTATAATATGTAGTACAAATACAGTGCTGTAGTGAGAAATACATTCTCATATACTTTTCATTAACTGTACCTTTTTTGTTGCATTATAACCCAGTCAAAAAATGATTATATTCAAAAAAATCATCATCTATAGTCACTGGATTTTTTTCTAGAAGATGAGACAACCATCAGGCCAGAGGAGGAGTGATAAAGCTATGCCTTTTGATGGAACAATCCCTGGGGCTTTTAAGTTCTTAAAGCTATGAGTCAAAACTAATAATGATGATAATGGAAATAAATGATAATGATGATGATAATAAATGTATTATGTGAAAGAGACATTTAAAATATAAATAGACATTAGAAGTCTCTCTTCTAAGACTCTTCCTTGGCAAGAAATGAAACTGAGACCATGGAAGCTATTCAGATGTTGACACAGGGCAAGTTTAAAGTTGACACTTTCTTAGCTTTCTTTCTAAATTTCATGTTAATGTTATTTACAGTTATGTTAAAAATTGTGCAATCTATCATCCTCACCTTGAGTGGCTGCATTTAGTTATGTTGGAGTTACAATGACCATATTTTATGAGAAACAAAACCCCAGGAGGAATTTAATAGTAATTAAATTGACAAAATAATAGAGGTAATGTACTCTTTTACTAAACTACGAATAAATACAAGTCAAGAATGATAACACTTCAGTTTATATCACGTATGCTTTTTAATTCATTTTATCATGTATTTCTATTAAGAATTTCTTATGGTCAGGGATGTGAGTTTAGAAACCCTAAACTCATCTAAGAGTATATTTTTTTCATTTCTGCATTACCTGGTAAGTACATAGCCTATACAGGAATTATTTTGGTTAGCAGGAAATAGTGCCCATCTTAGGGAAAATGAGTCATAAACATAACTTAAGACCTACTCATATTTATGTGGGAATATAGCATGGTTATCAAAACCTCTGGTGAGCTGTATGTGGCAGGGATATGCATGTCATTACGCCTTGTAAAATTATGTTATCTAAATTATAAATCCAAAAAGTTACTGAATTTATTAATCAAAAGAGCTTTCAAAATTCTGGTTTTACATCAAATGAATGATGTAACATTATTGCGCCAAAACACTTTGTATATCTAATGAGATAATGTGCACTACATTTATGAATTGTAAATTCCTCAGGCCACTTGTATACAAATTCATCCATTCATGTGGTAAGCATTTACAGAGCTCCTGCTATCTGACAGACACAGGGACACAAAGCTAATCAAATGACATTGTCTTTTAAGGCATTAACCATCCTATTTAAGACACTTGTTTCAATTTGTATGTACCTGAAACAACCTGATTCATTATTGGTAGACAGCACAAAATATAATGTTTTTATATTTTATATATATAATGTTATATATAAATGTTATATTTTATATATATGTTTTTATATTTTATGCTACCAATAATGAATCATAACATAGTATAATTCTATCACAAGAAAGTTGTCCTTTCTCTGCATATTTGTATGTACTAAGCAATTATTATAGATTTATGTATGAAACCCTAGATTATGAATCATAATATATTTTTGGCTTTAACGTTGTTAAAATTTCAAGACTCAATTATATTGATTTTCTTATTAAGATAGAGATATATCGCTATGAAGAAATAAGCTGGAATTCCACCACTCACTATACTTCAAACCTAATAACTTAGTTTCAAGTAAAATTAAACATTCGTCATAGACTAAAAAATGTTTTTGCTCCAAATTTATTCAACCATAATTTTTTAAAAAACACATTCAATTATTTCAAAACATAAAAAGCAATAAGCATTCATTCAATCTTAAGAGTTCCACATTTTCTGAATTTTTACTGTAAACAAGACCAAATAAGTTCATATACTTATTTTACCATTTCTTGGTATTGTTTATGACTGCATGCCCATAAAGGTATGAAAACAGTATTCAGCAAAATGCCTAGAGCAGCAGAAACTAACCATAGCACATTGTCAAGGACACCCAGTTACTCCCGGGGACCCATTACCGAATGTAAAACTGAAAGTTTCTGAATTTCTTTTGAGTCTTGTGCACCTCATGTTTTGATGTTTGACAGGTGATATCATAACCTTGAACAATCCCTCAACTATAGCAAATCTTTTTAATGTGGCCCTTTGGTGACTAGGAGATTAACAAGTTCATGTTTTTTTCTTATGTTAAAAATGCTTCAAAGTGATCCTGCCAGATTTTCCCATAAGATAGTCATTCCAATGAACTTGACTCTTGTGGTAGGTTTATAGGGCTGCTGGGCTTGCCACTCGATGCCCTGGAATAGTTATTTCTTCTCATGGTAGTATTAAAATGATCATTTATCATTTCCTAGGGAACATATCTTAGTTCAACTGTTCTCAAACATTTATGGAGTAACATGTTAAAACTCATTCCAAATTAATATTGAGGACAATTGCAACAAAAAAGTCTGACAAAAAAGTAAGTGTGACCTGCTTTGAAAAGAAAACTGGAAATAATCATAACTGTCTCTAGACCAAATTTCAAATATCAACCTGCTACTAACCTAGAGAACACCAAGAAGTTAGCAGAAACCTGTCTTGCCTTTCACTGAACTGTCTTAAAGGCATACATAGATTGACTATGCCTCTGATTACCCACTGGGTATTGAAGTTGTTTTAGATTAATACTGTAATGATTTCCATTGGATTGCACTCATTCCTTTGAGAGCTAAGTATTATTCTAAGACTAGTTGGGAAAATAAGAAACAAATATGTAGAATACCCTTTGTTCTGGTTGATTAAACATAAAATGCTAGATTTTCCTGAGTGTCATAATCTAATACTCTTTCATGTGCTTAGGGAAGCACATCAACTCTGCTAGGTCACTTGGGTGTCGTTTAATGCACTGTAGCAGTAATGATTTAGGAAGATTTAAAAGTCATAACCTGGAAGTTAAAAAGGCCTCTGTTCCTATGGGCTATCTTTTTATCAGCCCTATAGATGATTCATTTTAGTTAAAATAAACTGTATCATAATGAACATAAATCACTGGCATCACATGTATAACAAATCATGGTATAAATGACTTTCTAACATCTGCATTGCAAGTATAATTTTATAGAGGAACCTGTTGTAAATGTATATAAAGAAATGTTTAGTGTTTGAAGGCATAGAAATGTGTGAAATCTAGACGTATCTTATTTACTTTAATGTCATTGGAAATTTTGTGTCATCAGATATTTCATTATGTGATAAAATATTTCCAGTGTTCTAAAATTTATTTTAACAAAAAATGCATAAACTGTGTATAGTTCCAGGATCAGTTGCTAGAACACAGCTCTTTCCTTTTTCCATATAGGCTGGCTTTGAAATCCTTTTCATAGTCAAAGAAAACATTAAGTTATTGCAAATTAGAGATGAAAGGGAAGTCATTAGATTATGAAGTAATATTTTTTGTTAGCTGACTTTTTTATTTGGTTTGGGTTTTATCAACTGCATCTTAGTAATGAAATAATGACCAAATCTAGGAAACAAAAACATTAATCTCAATAAACATGAATCAGATGAATAGCTTGAGCTCTCTATTTATTTTAGCCATAATTTCCTGGATTAAATTCTTTAAGACAGATAAGTCCTTACCTCATTAATGAATCTAGCGATGTTTGATGGATATCCCTAAACTTTTAAAGTTCTTTCTTAAATATTAACCCTGGAACAGAATGATGGGATACCTCAAAAATCAGTCTGATCTACTATTGCTTTCTCTACTATTCTATAAATGGATGATTTTCAGATATTTCTTTTCATATACGTATATAAAGAATATTTGAAAAACTGAAGTATTCTCAGAAAATGCTATAGTATTTCAAAGTAAAAATCAAAATCATAATTAAGCTAATTCAGTTGAGAATATACATGTTGTATTAAAACTTTTCAAGGATAATGAACACATTCTTATGTCATTATATTTATCATTGAGCAGCCCACTAATATAAAAGAATCCAGTTTGCCTAAATATGCAACAATCAGTTAAAATTGCCTCCCTCCCTTCCACTTCTTCCTTCTCTTCCATGTCATTCTCCTTAATCTCTAACCAAGTTAATGGCACAAAATATATAATCACTCAAAAGAAAAACCCAAGAATAATTATTCTTAATTCCTCAATCTGTCTCTATGCAACAGTTTTGCTAAATTTGTCTTCTAAATATTTTTTAAAATCTTTTCCCATACTTTCATCATTACTATCAGTGTTTTCATTTAGATTCAAAACACCTCTCTCTTAGACTACTTCAATAATCTCTTAACTACTTGATCTTCAGGCTCATAATTTTATCCTCTCAAATCTATTCTACACACCACTGCCAAGGTGTTCTATTTCAAACACAAAGCATCTCTTCAAACTCTTCAATGAGTCTTTTCTGTAGGATGAAGTTCAAACTGCCCTGTATGCCACAGCTAATATAACTTGACCAGGACTCTTTCTGTCTCTACAGGTGTATCTTTCCTCTTCTCTGTTTGAACTTTATAATCTAACAACACTGAGTTGCTTATAGCTTTTTATAGGCTTGGCTGTCTCTCCACCCAGATCTCATCTTGAAATGTAGTTCCCATAATCCCTACATGTCATGGGAGGTACCCAGTGGGAGGTAATTGAATCAGGGGGGAAGTTACCACCATGTTGTTCTCATGACAGTGAGTTCTCATGAGATCTGATGATTTTATAAGGGGCTTTTGTCTTTGTTCAGCACCTCTCTCTCCTGCTACCATGTGAAAGAAGGATATGTTTGTTTTCCTTTATGCCTTGATTATAAGTTTCCTGAGGCTCTCCCAGCCATGTAGAACTATAAGTCAATTAAACCTCTTTCCTTTATAAATTACCCAGTCATGGGCAGTTCTTTACAGCAGTGTGAGAACAGACTAATACAGCTCTCCACCCACACTATGTTGTTTTCTGTCTTCCTGGCTCTTCAAATGAAGTTCCCTATGATGGGAATGCCTTTACTCACACTCTTCACCTTGAAAATTCCTATATGGTTTTCTGTTTGTGTTTAAGATTCAAGTTACTTACGTCTCTCCATCCTTTTCCATTATTTAATAATGACTTGTATATGTGTTTTCTTTCCCACTGTATCTTATCTAACTTTAGCTCTGTAGACTCTAGCACAGCGACTAGAATACAGATTCTCTATACATTGTTATGAATAAATTGTAGATTTCAAATGAGTATAGCAATTTTAAAATGTTTATCCATGTTAACAGACAATATCAATAACTCAGCCTAATCTTCACAATTCAACCAGATCTTCCCTTAGTCATCTGTTGACATGCCAAAGTGGAGCCCAGGTATTATCATAACTCACTTAAAGCAATTCAAAATGTGGTTACCCTAGGATGGATAAAGGAAATATATTCCAAGAATGCGATGCTAATTTATTTACTTACGCATGAGAGCGTGCTCTTCTGTGCACCAAAACACAGTCCTTAAAAACTGTGGATCCTTTCGGGGATGAAAGCAAAGACCCTCACCCCTCTCAGTGGTCAAATGGTACATTGCTAGAGTCTTTTTAAACTCCATAAACATGGTTCTATACATGATTCTCATGTTTTAAAAAGTGCTGCAACTTTAATCATATTTATAAGCAAGAAAATTATATTCATTGAATTGTAGCTGAAGTATTTGCCATTTGCTTTCATTCTTGTATTTTTTATTGAAATTTAAGCTCTTTCCAAGATGAGCTTTAACATGTAAGAGAAAAATATTTATATATTTGAAGTTTCATTATACATTTAATTAATAGTCAATATTATTTTTAACATGTACAGCCTATCAATTCTCTGATTTCACCTCTTCACCTCTCCTGTGGCCTGGTAATGTGTAAAGCCTAATGCAATATTTGTTAACTGCCTGTGAATGTATCTTCCAGATAACGGTGATTTTTTTTTTTTTTTTAATGGCAGATGTCTTATCTTTTTAGATCTTAAAGGTAGTGGAGTTTTCATCAATAGAAAAATGAGGTTACATAAAATCTTCCTACCACTGTAACGGCTCAGATTCTATTCAAATTAAATAGCTCTTCAACAAGAAGTTAATATGTCAGCTGAAGTGTTAGCGAGACACAGTTTCAGCACAGAGCCTTTCTTTTCAGTTCACAGAATACCCTGTAGTGAAGGTGTTGATGTTGAAAATAAACTTATTTCAATTCAAAGAAAGATGTTTAATTCATATGGAATTTCTTTCCAAATTGTTAAGTTATGCTTTGTAGGAAACATGAATTGGAAGTCAAAGAACTAAACTCTATTCTCAGCTATGTCACTTTCTTGTTGCTTTAGGTTACGGGAAGTCACCAAAGCAATTATCTCTCTGTATTCCCACAGGTACAAATAGAGACTATTTTTCCCATAAATAACTGGAGAGAATCAGATTTCAAATGTATCTTTATTAGATGTCTGTTTTAAGAAGATAAAGGACATCCCACTGAAGTGCAGGGTTTTAAAGGAGTTGTAAGCAATATTTCATTTGATCAGTATATTTAATAACTTTGTTTTTTCTAGGGGTCAAGATGGGAGAATATAAATCTGAATGAAGCATATATCCTGTCCCAATGAGTTTACAAGTCTGAGAAGAGACACATGCAAAGGAGCGCATACTAAGACAGAAAGGAGACATTTTCAAGAAACCAAGATGAGTTCAACATGACTACAGCATAAAGCTAATTGGGACTGGGAAAGAGTTAAGGCTAGAAGTTTGAAGGAGTTGACATGAGAGAGCTGGTGTATGCCATGCTAAAATAATTCTTTTAGGGAATAGTGGGCACTTATCTGTGAAGGTGGTTTGGGTCTAGATTATGGAGAGTCTTGCACAGCAAACTAAAAGGTTTAGACTTTTCCTTGTGGAAATCAGGGAGCATATTTTGAAAAATTGTATATGAGAATGATTCATCTTGAATAAACTAGCAAATTTAGAGAATGAAGGCAAGTGGCTCAACTGACATTCTTATCAGTTTTCCCAGAATGTAATTATACCAGCCTCATATCTTGGGTTGAAAAAGGAAATTGTTAGTAGTGAGAAGTATTGAGAATAGGATTTGATGACTCACTGGATGAGGTAAAGAATTACCTTCTGACAGTAGGTAAATTTTCTGAAAGATGTAACTGAATAGGTAGCTTGAAATTGAGTCTGGAGAAATGTCTATATTTACAGGAGGTATAGTAGAAGGATATGAGCCTAGCTTAAATGATAGAGAAAATTTAGAGAAACCTAGGCAGTACCATTCAGGACATAGGCATGGGCAAGGACTTCATGTCTAAAACACCAAAAGCAATGGCAACAAAAGACAAAATTGACAAATGGGATCTAATTAAACTAAAGAGCTTCTGCACAGCAAAAGAAACTACCATCAGAGTGAACAGGTAACCTACAAAATGGGAGAAAATTTTTGCAACCTACTCATCTGACAAAGGGCTAATATCCAGAATCTACAATGAACTCAAACAAATCTACAAGAAAAAAACAAACCCATCAAAAAGTGGGCGAAGGACATGAACAGACACTTCTCAAAAGAAGACATTTATGCAGCCAAAAAACACATGAAAAAATGCTCATCATCACTGGCGATCAGAGAAATGCAAATCAAAACCACAATGAGATACCATCTCACACCAGTTAGAATGGCAATCATTAAAAAGTCAGGAAACAACAGGTGCTGGAGAGGATGTGGAGAAATAGGAACACTTTTACACTGTTGGTGGGACTGTAAACTAGTTCAACCATTGTGGAAGTCAGTGTGGCGATTCCTCAGGGATCTAGAACTAGAAATACCATTTGACCCAGCCATCCCATTACTGGGTATATACCCAAAGGACTATAAATCATGCTGCTATAAAGACACATGCACACGTTTGTTTATTGTGGCATTATTCACAATAGCAAAGACTTGGAACCAAGCCAAATGTCCAACAATGATAGACTGGATTAAGAAAATGTGGCACATATACACCATGGAATACTATGCAGCCATAAAAAATGATGAGTTCATGTCCTTTGTAGGGACATGGATGAAATTGGAAATCATCATTCTCAGTAAACTATCGCAAGAACAAAAAGCCAAACACCGCATATTCTCACTCATAGGTGGGAATTGAACAATGAGATCACATGGACACAGGAAGGGGAATATCACACTCTGGGGACTGTGGTGGGGTGGGGGGAGGGGGGAGGGATAGCATTGGGAGATATACCTAATGCTAGATGATGAGTTAGTGGGTGCAGCGCACCAGCATGGCACATGTATACATATGTAACTAACCTGCACAATGTGCACATGTACCCTAAAACTTAAAGTATAATAAAAAAAAATAATAAATAAAAAAATAAATAAAAAAAAGAAAAAGAAAAAAAAAAGAAAATTTAGAAGGCTAAAACTAGAAAACAGAATGCCAAGTGTGGCAGACACCAAGGAAACTGTCTTCTAAGAAACCCAGCCTCTCCCTTATGAGCTTCTTTTCCTCTCCCAGACCCAGTTCCAGAATAATCTCCTTTGAGGAACCTCCTTTGAATCTCCCTGCAGCCACCACTGTTCCACTTTTATAGAGGCGGTCAATCTCCTCTTTTAAGCCAACATACTACTTTTGCATATGTCTAGCATGTGTTTAGTAAAGCATGAATCTCATTCTGTTGTCATATTCATTTTCATGCCTAATGTACATATTAGGCTATGAGGTCATGAGGGCTGGCCTCAATTTTCTTATAGGAATAGTCAGAACATGAGGAAAATTACATGGGAAGATTCAAGCATTCATTGTTAACTGGAGAAATGAATGGACTGGGGGAGTTTGGAACTTGCAACCAGGGAAGTATGCTAGAAATCAGTAAGATAAAATAAGTAGTATGGGTAGTGGGCACAAGGTAGATTATCTGATTTTCTACAACCACATTCAGGTAATAAGGAAAAGAACTAAACCAAATACAGTTTCAGGGGATAATTCACAGTTGAATATTGCAATGGTTAAAATCAGTTTTTTTCAAAAGATTAGAGATTATGATATAGAAATTTCCAGTCAAGGAGAGATGGCTGGATATGGCTCAAGAACAAACAGAAGAGGGTTAGTGGTCTCTGTAAAGTTGGGTGAAAAGTATCATTAAAGGATTCTATGCTCCAGTGAAGATAAACAGTAGAGTCACAGTTAGGAGTGATAGAATAGAAAGGCAAGAAAACCATGTATGGAGAGAGAGAATATAAAGTTTAAAGCCTTGAAAAAAAAATCTTGCTGGCTAGAAAGATTCAAAGTGAGGTAATGCTTTTTGAAGACTGATATAAAGTAAGAATAAATACCACCAGATTATGTTGTGGATGCTAAAGACCACCTGTATTAGGGTTCTTTAGAGAAACAGAATCAATAGGTTTGTGTGTGTTTGTGTGCGTATGTGTGAAATAGAATCAATAGGGGTGTGTGTGTGTGTGTATGTGTACAGAGAGAGAGAGAGAGAGGAGAGAGATTTATTATAAAGAATTGGCTCATGCAATTATGGAGGCTGACTAGTTCAAAATCTGCTGTGTGTGCCAGTAGGCTGGAGATGCAGGGGAGTGAATGATGTAGTTCCAGTCCTAAGGACCGGCAGCCTGGAGACCTAGGAGAATTGATGGTGCAGATTAAGTCTCAAAACAGTCTGATGAAAAAATTTCACCCTTCTTGGAGAAGTTAGTCTTTTTGTTCTATTCAGGCCTTCAGCTGATTGGGTAAGACTCACCTACACAATGAAAGGCAGTCTGCTCTCCCCAGGGTTTACTAATTTAAATGTTAATCTTACCTGAAATCACCCTTCTAATTGACCACAGTCCCCATGCCAGAATGGCACCCAAGTCTGTTTCATGCACTGTGGTAATGTGCTTCATAATTTCTTCTTTCCTCCTTTGCTGTCACTACTTATATTTCACACATACTCAGTTACAAAGTGGGCTGCAGTATCAGCAGAGATCAAGAAGGATCTCCAAGAGAAAGTCAGAAATGAGTTGAGTCAAGGAGTATCCTGACCTAATAATTACCTTCCAAAGGGAGTGATCATCAGTTCAAATTACAGAAGACAGGAGAAGGATAAGCACAGACTTCAAAGATTGCATATTGTAATCCTAACAACCTGTGAATACTTCAGGTTGTAGAGCAAAGGAGACTTAATGTTTCATGTGGAATTAAGGCTACTAATCAGCTGATCTTAAAATAGGGAAATTAGTCTGGATTATCCAGGTGGGTTCAATGTAATGATAATAGTCTTTAAAAGTGGAAGAAAATGAGAAGGAGATGTGAGGATGGAAGTAGAGATTGGAGATGAAAGGTGACTTTAAAGCAAAGTTATTGGGCAGCCTTTACAAGCTGGAAGAGTCAAGTAAGTGAATTTTCCCCTAATGCCTCTAGAAAGAAACACCACCTGCCAACACCTTGATTTTAGCCCAATGAGACCTGCATTACACATCTGACTTTCAGAACTGTAAGATAACAAATTTGTTGCAATTTATCGTAGCAACAATAGAAAAATAACACAAATACTTCCAATGCAACAAAATTCCAGTTTCCTTGGCACATTGATCAAACTGAGTTTTAAAATGGAAACACTTTGGTATAGTGGAAATAGTATTTATCTTGAAGTCAAGAAAACCCGATTTTAGTCTTGACTTTTACAAAATAACCAAACAAATGAACTTGAGCAAGCCCTTCAATCTCTGCAAAGTACTTTGTTCCCCTACAAAACAAAGAGTGAGATTAGATTATGTCTAAGGCTCTTTGTAATTATAAATTATTATAAGCAGATAAATGGGTCCATTCAAACAAACATGTATTTTTTCACAGTTGTTTTATCAGTTGTTACCATCCTCTAAGGTTTTTGAAATTGTGTTTTCCCCCAGAAGAAATGGATTTCTGAATAGGAAATTCTAGGGAATTCTACAGGCAACTGTACAAGGGTGCATGGAATAAGGAACTTTCTTGACTTTTCTAAAATAGAAATAAATGGGAATTTTAACCGTCTGTATCACTGGTCTTAAATGGGAATTTTAACAATCTGTATCACTGATCCAAGAAAGTATGCTCCCAGGGTTATCTACCACTTTACCGAATTCTGTGTACCCCTTTCCATGTCATAATTCACTGGTGCTGGGGTGCTCAGCTAATGAAAGTGGCTGAATTTGCAACTCAGTTTCTACTTTGGCATTGCTAGGTCCTTAAACTAGAAGCTGTGTAAAAGACTTCACCAAGACAGCCATATTTGGGACATTGATGAGTAAATTTAAATGAGTTTATCTAGAAAGAGAAAGTAAAAGAGGCAGATATGCAGTGGTAACCAGAAATAAGACAGTATTTAGCCCAAGATAGGGTTGCAGAGGCAGGTGCGCCCCAGAGGAGGCGGGTGGGAGAGAAAGAGAGAAAGAGAATATGAATGAATGGCAATGAATGGCAACTGTCTAACTCTGGGCCTTAGGGAGACTCAGCTGCTTTTACTTGAGTAATATGGTATGCACCTGTCAAGTATCTTCCCTATTTCAGGAGCTAACTTGTGTTGCTTCTTTTCTTTGAAATCACATAATTTCTGCCTACAGTAATAGATATTCACCAATACAGTACTATTTTTTTCATGAAAATACCAAACTATTTCTAAAAGCTCAATTTAGAAAGATCTTATATCATTCAGTGAACAGAGCACCTAATTATAAACTAATGGATATTCAAGTATATAAACTAATAAAATTTAAGCTCACAGCATTTGAATTGAAAATTGACATGTGCTTCAAGCATTTTTTTCTCCTCTCTGCCTATTTCTTATTTATCATTTCCTATTGAGAAACCTAAGAAGGTATGGGAGAAAATACTAGCATTATTTATTATGGATTTAACCCTGTTTAGGAAAAAGTAAAAAGCAACATATGGCCTACTAAAATCCTCTGGGCTTCACAAGTACTTTTTATTTAAAAAAAATTTGTATGGACTTCTGAAGGTTATTTTGTTTATACCTAAAAATGATGAATGAGAGTATACCGCCCTGTGTTTTACATTATATTCAAATACATGAATGCTTTAAACATTAATATTCTCTCTTGGTTCTATAAGAGATTGTGTCCATTTCTATTGTACCCAGAGACTTTTTCATAGTTTTAGGTATAAATATACAAAAACTCATGAAAGGTGGAATTTACTGATGTATTGCTAGTGTTGTGGCATATGCTCAACAACATATGCCACAGTTTGTCATATGCTCTGCAAAGAAAGTCATTAGCCAAATGGAAATTTAGGTCAGCTAACATTTCTGAATGTTATTTAAGGGATCACTGAAATTATTGAAAATGTGTTTCATATTTCATCATGCAAATGTCAAACTCAATTTCTCATTTATTTATTTACAGTAATCTTCCCAATGTTACTTGAATATCTGTCATTTAATAAAGTTTTACTCCCCTCACATTTCTGGTTCTCAACAATTGAGGTAAATCACTATATCTCATGTCCTTGAATAAACTCTCACACACACAAATATGTATGCACATTATATATACATAAACACATATCGTGGGGACTAAATACATGTAAGTCTAAGTATTTATGACTTTTTTTCCCTCTCATGCCTTTTTAAAAAAATGTATGATCTACAATGCATTATGGGTGAAGATACAAATGGCAGAAGTACCGGAGCCCCCAACTGCCTTACAGCTTTGTCAGGGTGACCAAAGAGCAAAAGATGTTATACAATAAGAAAAAGGAGTGAACTAGCATAGATGGGAAAGGCAGTTAAGGGAAAAAAAATGAACAAAAATGTAATTTAAGGGAACTTTTAGAAACTTTTGATGAAGGTTGTGTGCTGTACTTCCTTTGATATAATATTCTTCAAGAAAACCTGGATTTAAAAGTTTCTGCATTCTTCAATGTTTTCAGAGTCAGAGTTTCTTTGCATGTGTCACCATGCTGACATTGGACATGGCATAAGAAAAAGACCATCTAGTATTATCTTGAATTCACACCTAAGTATATGCCCATGTATTAATATATTTGAATATCTAGTATGTTAGAATAGTCTTAAGTGCTTTAATTTTAAGGAAAAAGAATAATAAGCAAGATTATTTGAATATTCTCTCAAACTTTGGCCTTGGACCAGTGCGAATACCTTCTGATTAATTCAATTTCTCTGTAACCGACCTTCACAAAATTCTGGGTTTTGCTTTCTGATTCTCCTCATTTCTAATAATCTTAGTCTCCTTTCACAGCCAACCAATTATCATAATCAGTCTTTAGAGCTTGTTATTCCTAATAATTGTTCCCTGTCTATACTTAAAATTGTAAGCATCCAACTCTCCATTTATAACTTTGTGTCTTTTCAGCTCACTCTCTCTAGTATCCTAATTCAATAATTCCTTGACTCCACAAAAACCTTCAATTCATTGATCCTACCACATTCTCATTCTCCTGCAACTCCATCTTTGCCTCAGTCCCCTCCTTATCTGGCTTAGATTCCATGAGAACAATTATAATTATTTCTGCATAGATCCTCCCACCTTCCTTTATCTGCTCCATTAAATTTGCTGAGGAAAATCCCAACTAACTTTATATTTCACATCTGCTTTAAGAAATACATACAAGCAGCCTGGCATGGTGGCTCATGCCTGTAATTCCAGCACCTTGGGAGGCCGAGGCAGGCGGATCAACTGAGGTCAGGATTTCAAGACCAGCCTGGCCAACATGGCAAAACCACATCTCTACTAAAAATACAAAAATTAGCCAGGCGTGGTGGTGGCTGCCTGCAATCCCAGCTACTCAGGAGGCTGACGCAGGAGAATGGCGCGAACCCGGGAGGCGGAGGTTGCAGTGAGCCATGATCGCGCCACTGCACTCCAGCCTGGACCACAGAGCAAGACTCTGTCTCAAAAAAAATAAATAAAAAAAATAAAAAATAAAAATACAAGCATGCTCAAAGTCAATTTATGGTGACAGAGCTTTAATAGGTCTTTAGTGCTGTCAGTCAATCCTACAACCCTCTCTCCTACATCAGTATTTTGTACCTTTCTCTCTCTCTTCACACCACCAACAATCTTCTTCTACCACGTTCTCTTCTGATTATCTTAATTACTATTTCTCTGATAAAATAGAAGTGACTACAGGTGATATCCTTTATCTTCTCACTGTCAAATTAAGTCCTTTTCATGTAATGTCCTCTGATTCTTCCCTCAGCAATAGCTTTTGTCAAGGTAGTTTGTTCTGTTTTGCCTTTTTATATTGTTTCCTGCTATGCTTCCAGCACCCAGAATAATAACGAGCAAATAGTAGCTCATACATAATTGTGGAATGAATTCAGTCTAATTTCTGATGCCTTCTACTATATGCCTTCTACTACTATAGCACTGTCCTTCATTATCTGATAGTTTGTTCTTTATCTTGTTTTTTTAATACCTGGAACAGTACCAGCACATACTGCTTCTTCCCTAAATTTATAGAATATAAGCATGTTTCAAACTAAGGATATTTAATCTGAGTTACTTCAATAAAATCAACTACAGACAAATGTAATTATGCTTTGCCCATCTTATTAAGGTATTTTCTAATCATAGCTTAGGAAATTTGCAAAACATTAAGTTCATCTTCAATTAATCAGAAAACTCAAACCACAGCTTTCTCTTAGAATTCTAACACATTCTAGTTTAAAAATTACATGTTTGCTTATAATTGGTATTTATAGGAAAGCACTCTTTTTTCCAAGAGCTATATTATTTCATTTTTCATTTCTTATACCATAGACTTTGAAGTCTTTGTAGCATAGACAAACACAAAGCATATTTAATAAATTCCATTTAAACCTGCATATGTTCCTAAAGGGTTTGCTTCCTCATAATGGGTTCTTCTTATCTTAATGTAAACTCTATTTTTTCAGATTGAAGAATCACAAATGGAAGCTCAAAACACTTATCCAAATTCCTGAATTCAAACTTGGACTCGTAACTCAAGCTTTAAAGATAGTATGTAAACTTTTATCTGTTTGTGAGCATCACAACACAGATTAAAGTTTTGTTGTTGATTTCTTGTTGTTGTAAACTTTCTCATTTCTACAGTTGAAAGTTTCTGACTCTGATTGTTTCTGTATTAAGTTCATTGATGAAAATAGCAGAAAGAGAACAATCTCTGAGACTCTTCACATTTATCAACATAAATTATTCAACAGATTTTACTCAGTAACAATTTCCAATTTTCTAGTTTTCCTCATCTGTTCAGTCTGTAATGTTACAGACAATTGGCATCATGTTACTTTGCACATAAAACTAAGATCAAAGATGCACATTTTTAAGACACATATTAAACTGAGGTGGGCTTGATTTAAATTATGTGTATGTATATGTAAGAGCAACCTGTATTTTGATGGCAAATAATTCCTAAAAACTGTGTCAAAAAGTGGTATTCATAAAATGGCTCATTTCTCCAATAGCAATATAGTGTTTTAAAGTTTTGTATCTTACCAAAGCATTGGAATAAATCACAGACATAACCAACAATAGGTGATTTTAAAAAGAGAGATATGCCCTAGTCCTGCTGCCTAAAGCAACATAGCGTATCTATTTCCTCTTCTATATTATAGTCAGACACATATTTGAAGGGCACTAAAATGTGGTGTCATCTGAGTATTTCTTCTCCACATTAAAAATCCATGTATTCTTTCTATGCTGCTCTATCCTTTTTTATGCTAAGATTTATTCATCGTTAAATATTCAGGTTAATATTGCTATTTAAAAAAAAATCCTTAAAAGTCACTTCCCAAAAGAAAAATAAAAAGTAATAATGGTCTATCTGTAGTTTAATTGTACACCTCTAGAGTAGGGCTCATCCTAGACCAACTCTCTCTTTCACTTTCATTAAAATTTGTCATATCTCTATTGCTGCCTCCAGGATAGAAATTGCATCTCTCCATCTTTATTCAGGGCCTAGCATGGTACCTAGGACACATAATAGATGCTCACCAGGGTGTTCTAAGTTGAATCAAGTTAAGTTCAAGTAAATTCTAAAATCAATGAAATTTAAATGTTGACTTTAATAGAAAGAGGCAGCTCAGGTCTAATTCTGACTTGTTTGCATATGTTATTATCATAAGCAATTCTTGAACATTCTGAGATTTTTGACTATTTTTTAATTTTACATGAAACATACATACATTGTAGATAAAAATCAGAAATGCAAATGAACCAAAAGAAAAATAATAGAACCATGTAAAATTCTACCACCCAAGGGTAACTACTATTAAAATTCAGTGTATGTCTTTCCAGATGTTCTTCCCAAGGTATATTACACATGTGTTCTCAATGGAGAGAACAAGAGAAATGCTACCAGGTCAAGGTAGCTAAAGGAAAACTGTGATCAATTAGTCTAGAACTATTGTCTAGGTAGCACTATAGAAGGAGGATCTTAAAAATTTAATCTTTATTTTATCTTGTCTCCTACCAATTTTCCATCGATCATATATAGCAGTAAAAACAGTCAGCACAAGATTCTAATTTACTTTTATATTATTCTTATGATTATTCTAAAAATCCAATTACAGATATAGAATAATTTAGCTAAATGTTTTAAAATGTAAGTTATCTAGTTAATTTAGTAACATCAATATCATCAAATAATATTAATTATGAGTTGGCGTTTTATTTTCATTTTTATAATTAGTTTTTTATTTTGTTTAAGTAAGAAAATTTAATAGAATTATACATAATAGAATTAAAACTAGTGAAACTCATTTATGCAATCTTATCTATGATTTTTAACTATTTTACATTTTTCAAGTAGTATATAAAATTTATCTACAATTTTATATCTTGTCAGGTTTCTAGGGTAAAAACTATGTCATAATTAATGAGGTTAAATGATATATATTTTAGTAAAGTAACTAATTTCTCCATTGATAAGCTATGGTATAGCCAAGCATTGATGTTTAAGGAACATGCTGTTAGAATATAGAGAAATGCTTGGCATCCAACTAAAATCTGTAGTATGGAAGCCTTAGATTGTTTCAAATTACTTGACCATTTTTGCATCGCTTTCCTCTGATTAAAAAAAAAATAACAGCTTAATCATTCACTGATATTGTGCCATAGGCTTATGGCCTGTTTCTAGTCTAAAGCTTTCATTCACCAACTCACAGAAGTCCTCGTATCAAGCATCATTTTTCTTAAAGAAGAGTATTTGGGTTGGACTCGATTTTCAGAGTTCTATCTGTCATCATTGTTATGTAGCAATAAATTACCTTACTAAAGAGAAAAGAAGGCAATTCAGGTTGTATAGAGTTAAGAAAGAAATTCATGTTGTGAAAATATGCACAGTAGTATCCTAGTATCCCATCAGGTTTTAAAAGGGTTTATTTACAGGAAGAATAATTACAACTGCAGGAGCAGGTTTTGGGGAGCCATGACGAAACTCTTACCACTCCAAGAGGCTAAAGGCTGAGAGAACAGTAAAGAACCCTGGATGGATGTCAGAAAAACCAGGTTGCCTTGAAAGATGCAGTGAACCATAGTCAAAAGACATAGTAGCCTAAATTGACTTATCAAGATTTGAGGTAACGAATATTCCACTCCAATTTCTGTTTTCGTTATAATCTCCTTTTGACCAAACCTAAGTGACACCTGAGGGCTTGCAAACCCATTGGTATAATCCATTCATAGTGGAGAAGATTGAAGACTTGATCTGAAGAGGAAACAAAAAATAAGCAGAACAGTTGATGAATGTAAGATTTTAGAAAAACCACGAAACTAAAAAGCAAAATAATATCAAAAGAAAAAATGGTTGATTTTACTGTAAGAGAGCTGAGTACCTACTTAAGAACAAAGAAGTCAGAAATTGACAGAGATTAAAGACTATATGGAGAAAGAATAGCTGAGAAAACAAAGATCTAGAGTCAGGGCTGCCATATCAATGACAAATGTAACACCAAAATGACCAAGGGAATAAGGAATATACATACTTCATGTCAGCTCTTGAAAAAATTTAGGGATAACTCCCACTGTACTTCCTGTGGACCCTGCCTGGCTGTTCCCAAATTAATTCTTTCATTATGTTATTTATAAAAGCAGGTTGTCTCCCCTACCAAACATTAAATTTCTTTACAGTGTAGCTTATATATTTAATTCTAAAAATATATTAAATAACTATTATATACCAGGTACTGATATGTGACACAAAAATAAATAGAATAAGTTCCTGATCTCTGATAGTTAAAAACATCCTGGAGAAAGACAATATGTGAAACTCATGTAATTTGCATTACTCTGGATAGGCACTGTATGATAAGAAGAAAATATTTAGGAGAATAGAAAAGAGAGTAAAGAATTTTGAGGAAGAAGATGAAAAATGTTTTATAGAGAAGGTGTGGAGATGTACCTTCAAAAACAGTTGTGATTTCAACTGGTAGTAAATAGGACAGGCACATTTTAGTCTCAGGAAAGAGCAAAAAAGAAGCAAAGGCAGTGAAATATGAACATAATAGTGTACAAATGGTGAGAAACTCCAGTGCAATGAGCATGGAGTACATACGTAGAGGATGTAGTATGGACCTTTTCATTGCTTAGCTAATATCTGTTCTTGTTCGCTTCCTTATTAACTGGATTCCAATTTTATTTGCAGTGGAAATGCTCCCCAGTTAAAAACAATATTTCTTAGCCACCTTGAAGTAAGGATGGTTATGTGATATAGTTTAAATATTTGGCCCCTCCAAATTTCATGTTTAAATTTGATCCCCAATGTTGGGGTTGAGGCCTGACAGGAGGTTTGTGTCATGGGAGCAGATCCCTCATGAATGACTTGATGCTGTCCTCAAGGTAAAGAGTGAGTTCTTGCTCTATTAGTCCCCATGAGAATTGATTGTTAAAAAGAGCCTGCACCTCACTCCCCTTTCTCTCTCTCTTGCCTTCTCCTCTCTACCCATGTGATCTCTACACATACCAGCTCCTCTTCTCTTTCTACCACAAGTGGAAGAAGCTTCAGGCCCTCACCAGATGCTGCTGTCATGATTTTTGTACAATCTGCAAAAGTATGAGCCAAATAAACCTCTTTTCTTTATAAATTACCCAGCCTCAGGTATTCATTTATAGCAACACAAACAGATTAAGACACCATGTGATTATGTTCTGGCCAAATTTATTGAGTAGGCTCTAGGCAAAAGTTCTTTAAAAAGAGGCTGACATCTGGCAGGCAATTTTTGTCCTTTGCCATTTACCTTCCTCCTCCCTTGAATATAGCTGTGAAGAGTGTAGCTTCAGCTGCTCTCTTATAACTAAGAGGCAATAAGTATATCCTTAAAAAGGCTAAGTGTAAGAATAGAAGGATCCTGAGTCCTGATGATACAATAGACATGCTGTACCACTATGGGGAGCCTATTCCCAGATTTCACAGCATGCTTTCATATATTCTTTTGAAAAACTATTCCATCTTGTTAAGCTAATGTTGTGGGACTTTGTTCTCAGAGCTGACTGCAATTTTTTTTTCTTAATGTCATAACAATTTTTTATTTAAAAAGAATATCAAGCCAGTCACAGTGGCTCAGACTGTAATCCCAGCATTTTAAGAGGCCAAAGCAGGTGGATCTCTTGAGCCCAAGAGGTCAAGACCAGCCTGGGTAACATGGCAAAACCCCATCTCTACTAAAAATAAAGAAAAATTAGCTGTGCATGGTGGTGCACACCTATAGCCCCAGCTATTCGGGAGGCTGAGGTGAAAGGATGACTTGTGCCCAGGAGGCAGAGATTGTGAGCTGAGATCATGCCACTAAACTCCAGCCTGGATGTCAGATTGAGACCTTGTCTCAAAAAAAAAAAAAATCTGAAATTATTACCACAACATAATGGCAGAATTAAAATCCTATTGTAGCTCTGATTACTTAATTTTTAAAATGTATTATTCATATAATTTTAATTGACAAATCTATAATTATATATATTTGGGGGTAAAATATGATGTTTTGATATATATATATAATGTGGAATTATTAAATCAAGCTAGTTAACATGTCTATCCCCTCACTTACCTATCATTTTTTATGGTGAGATGTTTCAAAATACTCTTAGTTATTTTGAAATATACATTACTGTTGACTATAGCCACCCTGCTGTGATATAAATATTAAAACCAATTTCTCCTGTCAGTGGTAACTATCATTGTACTCTCTACTTCTATGAGTTCGACTTTATTACATTTCACATATAAGGGAGATCATAAAGTATTTGTCTTTCTGTGCCTGTCTTATTTCACTTTGCATAATTTCTTCCATATTCATCCATGTTCAGGATTTCCTCATTTTTAAAAGTGAAATAGCATTTTATTGTGTATATATATCACATTTTCTCTATCCATTCATCCACTGATAAACACTTGAGTCGACAGCATATCTTGGACATTGTGAATATGGCTACAATAAACAAGGGAGTGCAGTTATCCCTTCAATTTTCTGGTTTCAGTTGTTTGTGATATATACCCAGAAGTGAGATTACTAGATCATATGGTAGTTCTATTTTTAGTTTTTTCAGAAACCTCCATAGAGTTTTTCATAATAACTATACTAATTTGCATTCCCACTAACGATACACAGGGCTCCATTTTCTCCACACCCTTGCCAACACTTGCTATCTTTCATCATTTTTACAATAGCTATTCTAACAGATGTGAGGAACTATCTTTTTGTGGTTTTAATGTACATTTCAACGATTATCAATGATGATCATTTTTCTAAATATATTTGTTGGCTATTTGTATGTCTTATTTTGAGAGGTGTCTATTTAGGTAAATTATTCATTAGTTGATCGAGTTATTTGTTTTCTTGCTGTTCAGTTGTTTTAAATTCCTTGTATGTTTTGGATATTAGCTTCTTATCAGATGTATTATTTTCAAATATTTTCTCCCAATCCATGAATTATCTCCTCATTCTATTAATTGTTTCCTTTGCTGTGAAGAAGCTTTTTTAGTTTGATACAATTCCATTTGTTTGTTTTTGCCTTTGTTGCCTATGCTTTTGGGATTATAACCAAAAAATCTTTGCCCAGGCCAATGTTGTAGAGCACTTCCCCTATGTTTTCTTCTAGTAGTTATACAGTTACAGGGATTACATTTAACTCTTTAATCCATTTTGAGTTGATTATAATATATGGTGAGAGGTAAGGGTCCAGTTACATTCTTCTGCTTGTGGATATCCAGTTTTCCCAATGACATTTATTGAAGAGACTTTCCTTTCTCCAAGGGTATCAAAAACACTTCCATCAAAAATCAATTTACTAGAATTCTATGGGTTTATTTCTGGTATCTCTATCCTGTTTCACTGATCAATATGTTGGTTATTATGCCACTACCATTCATGCTGTTTTGATTGCAATTACTTTATAATATGTTTTTAAATGAGGGAGTGTGATGCCTTCAGTTTTATTGTTTTGGCTCACGACTCTTTACTATTTGGGGTCTTTTATAATTCCATACAAATGTAAAGATTGCTTTTTCTATTTCTGTGAATAAGGACATTGGCATTTTGATAGGAATTTCATTGAATCTGTATATTGCTTTGGATTTTTATACATATTTTCAAAATATTAATGTTTTCAACCCATGAACATTGGATATCTTTCTGTTTATTTGTGTTTTCTTCAGTGTCTTTCATCAATGTTTTGTAATTTTCAGTATACAAGTTTTTTTTATGTTATGATAAATCAGTTTGCAATTTCTTTTTTTTTTCATTATACTTTATGTTCTGGGGTACATGTGTAAAACGTGCAGGTTTGTTACACAGGTATACATGTGCCATGTTGGTTTGCTGCACCCATCAACTCATCATTTATACTAGGTATTTCTCCTAGTGCTATCCCTCCCCCAGCCCTCCACCCGCGACAGGCGCACCCAGCGGTGTGTGATGTTCCCCTCCCTGTGTCCATGTGTTCTCATTGTTCAGTATACAAGTTTTTTACCTCCTTGATTACATTTATACCAAAGTATTTAATTTTTTGTTGCTATTATAAATGGGATATTTTAAAAATTTCCTTTACAGATAAGATTCAACATGTAGAAATACTAATTTTTGTATGTTGATTTTGTGTTCTACTGAATTATTTTGTCAGCTCTAACAGTTTTCTGGTGGAGTCTTTAGAATTTTTTACATATGTGATCATGCCATCAGCAAATAAAGATGATCTCACTTCTTTTTATTAGGATGCCTCTTATTTCTTTCTTATCTAATTGCTCTAGCTAGAATTTTCAGTACTATATTGAAAAAAAAGTGGTGAGATTAAGCATCTTTCTTTTGTTCTTGGCCTTGAAATAAAAACTTTCAACTTTTCACCATTAGGAGTGTTAGCTACAGGTTTGTGATATATCTCCTTTATTGGGTTCAGGGACATTCCCTTTATACCTAATCTATTGAGTTTTTATTATGAAATGGTCCTAAATTTTGTCAAATGCTTTTTCTGCATCTGTTGAGATAATCATATGGTTTTTATCTTTTGTTTTTTAAAGGTATTACATCACATTTATTGATTTGCATGTGTTGAGCCATTCTTGCATCCAGGGACAAATTCCACTTAATCATGGTGAGTGATCCTGTAACTGTGTTCTTAAATTTGATTTGCTAATGTTATTTTAAGGAATTTTACATCTATGTTCAACAGAGATATTGGCCTATAACTTGTTTTTCTTGTGGATTTGCCTGGATTTGGTATTAGGGTAATGCTTGTTTCATAATATGCATTTGGAAATATTCCCTACACTTCAATTTTTTGAAAGAGTTTACAAAGAATTAATATTAGTTTTTCTTTAAATATTTGGTATAATTCAGCACTGAAGTCTGGGTTCTGGGCTTTTCTTTGATGGAAGACATTTTAAATTATTTAATCAATCACCTTACTTGTTATTGGTCTGTTCAGATATTCTGTGTATTCATAATTCATTCCTGGTAAATTATATGTGTCTAGATAATCATTTCTTCTGGACTGTACAATTTTTTGGTGTATACTTATTCGTGGTCATTTCTTAGAATTTTAGATTTCAGAGATATCAGTTGTAATGTCTCCTCATTCATTTCTGGTATCATTTATTTGAGTAGTTTCTCTTTTTTCCTAGTTTGTCTAGCTAAGGCTTTGTGAATTTTGTTTACCTTTTTAAAATCTCTTAGTTTTATTGATTTTCTTCTATTGTTTTTCTATTCTCCCTTTTATTTGTTTCTGTCATTTGTTATTTTCTTCCTTCTGCTAACTTTGGGTTCAGTTTGTTATTTTTTAGTTATTTGAGGTGTAACATTAGATTGTTTATTTGTTATCTTTTTTTGGATCTAGGCACCTGTTATTATAAATTTCTCTCAGGAATATTTTTGCACATACCATCAATTTTAGTATGTTGTGTTTCCATTTTCATTTGTCTCAATATAATTTTTATTCCTTTTTAATTTATTCTGTGACCCATTAGTTATTTAGGAATATGTGGTTTAATATCCAGATATTTTTGTATTTTCCTAGATTTCTCCTTTCGTTGATTTTTAGTTTCATGTCATTATTATCCAAAATGATACCTGATATAATTTCAATTCTTATAAATTTGTTAACCATTGTTTTGTAATCTAACATAAAGTCTACCCTATAAAATGTTCCCTATGCCCTTGAAAAGAATGTGTATTCTGCTGTTATTGTATGGAATGTCTTGTATATGCCTGTTAGGTCAATTTGGTCTAAAGCGTAATTCAAGCCCAACACTTCCTTACTGGTTTTCTATCTAGATGATCTGTTTATTGTTGAAAGTGGAGTACTGAAGTCCCCGGCTACTATGGTATTGCAGTCTATCCCTCCATTCAGATCACTTAATAATTGCTTTATTTATTTAGGTGCTCCAGTTTTGGGTCCATATATGAGGGTATTTAAAAAGTTCATGGAAATGTCTATTATGAAAAAACTGCAGGAGTTTCAAGGTGTTTTTTTCTCATTTTTATTTACTTTTTCCCATACTGCACAAAGAGGTTTCTAAGCTTTTTTTTTACACTAAAGTAAACTCATACTAATTTCTTATAACATGTCTGAACAGGATGTAGTTTGAGGCACTAAGTAAACATTAGGTATACATGGGCATAAAGATGGGAATAGACACTGGGGACTCCAAAAGGTGGGAGGACAGGAGGGGAGCAAGGGTTGAAAATCTACCCATTGGGTAATATGTTCACTATTTTAGTGACAGGTTCACTCAAAGTCCAAACCTCTGCACAATGCAATATGTCCATGGAACAAACATGCACATGTTCCCCTTGAAGCAAAATTTTTTTGTAAGTTATATGTTTTTGTAATATTGAAAACAAACTGTCAAAGTCATTAAAAATAAGTCTGAGAAACTGTCAAAGTCTACAGGAGCCTAGGGAGATACAATGATTAAAAGTAATATGGTATCCCGGATAGGATCCTGGAAGAGAAAAAGGACATTAAGTGAAAACTAGGAAAATTAAGTGAAAAAAGGACATTAAGTGAAAACTAGGAAACTAGGAAACTATGGGCTTCAGTTAATAATAATGCATTATTATTGGCTCATTAACCATGAAAAATATACCATACTAATGTAAGATGTTAATAATACAATACACTGAATGTGAGGTATATGAGAATCCTATGTACTATATTCTCAAATTTTCTGTAAATCTAAAACTCTTCTAAAATTTAAAATATATTTAAAAGGAAAAAAAAAGAAAAACAAATAATGCCAAAGAAAGCCTCACCAGAGTGCTTCTCCAACATGACAATGCTCCTGTTCATTTTTCTCTTTACAGAAGGAAAATTTTACAAGAGTTTCAGTGGGAAATAATCAGACATTTTCCCACAGTCCTGATTTCACAACTTCTGACTTGTGTTTGTTCCCTAATCTCAATAGTATTTAAAGGGCACCCATTTTTCTTCAGTTAATAATAACA
Source organism: Homo sapiens (assembly GCF_000001405.40). Lineage (NCBI taxonomy): Eukaryota > Metazoa > Chordata > Mammalia > Primates > Hominidae > Homo > Homo sapiens. The sequence goes on along the minus strand of NC_000005.10, from coordinate 84,454,794 downwards.
AAAGACTGCATTAACTAGGTTAAATTTCCAGGACGCTCAGTTCTTTAGGGATGAATTAAATGGCTGGTATCATTGCTTACAAAAGTATTTTGAAGTTGATGAAGTTTATGTTGAGAAATAAAGTTTATATGTCATATTTTTATCTTCAATTCCCATTTTCCCATGAACTTGTTGAAGTCCCCTCATATTTACAATTATTATATCGTTTTGGTGAATTAACCCTTTTGTGATTATGTAATGACCTTCTTTGTCTTTTTTCATAATTTGTAGCTTCAAGACTGATATATGCATTATATTTTATCTGAGATACACATAGCTTTTCCTGTTTTCTTTCAGTTTCTGTTTGCATAGAATATCTTTCACTATGCCTCCATTTTCAGTCCATGTGTGTCCTTACTAGTAAAATGAGTTTTTTGTGTGCCACATATGGTTGGATCATGTTTTGTCATCCATTCAAATACTCTATGACTTTTTATTGGAGAATATAATCATGTACATCAAGGTAATTATTGATAGATAAGGACTTGCTACTGCCATGTTGTAATTTATTTTTTCATTGTTTTGTAGGTCCTGTCTATTTTTCTTGCTGTTTTCCTTTTTAGTCTGATGGGTTTATGTGGTGAAATGCTTTGACTCCATCCTTTTTATGTTTTGTGCAACTACTATATATTTTTGCTTTGTGGTTATTATGAGGTTTACATAAAATATCTTATTCTTAGGCTACTGTAAGCTGATAATAACTTACTTTAATCATGTACAAAACCTCTGCACTTTCATTCTCTATCCCCCATCTTTTATAATTTCCATGTCAAATTCTACATTTGCTTTTCTTTTGAACTTATATCCTTTACATTGTATTGTAAATGTATTTATTTTTAATAGTTTTGTCTTTTAATCCTCCTAGTATGCATAAAATTGATTTGTAACACTCATAAATATTTGATAATCCTATGACTGTGTATTACTTACACCAAACATAAAAAATTGTTTTTTCACTTTCTTTTTTGTTATTAATTAGCAGTCTTTTGTTTTATCTGAAAGACTTTCCTTTAACAATACTTGTGAAGCTAGCCCTAGTGGTGACAAACTCCCTTAGCTTTTGTTTGTCAGGGGAAGTTTTTATCTATCCTTCATTTCTGAATGACAGCATTGACAGGTAAAGTATTCTTGGTTGGCAGTATTTTTGGTTTTGTTTTTGTTCTTTAGCACTTTGAATATATCATCCCCCTATCCTCTGGCATGCAAGATTTCTGCTGAGAAATCTACTGAAATTGTATTGGGATACCCTTGAATGTGACTTTGCAAATTTCTTGTTACTTTTAATATTCTTTTTTTGCCTGTCATTTTTGATTATTTGATTATGCTGCACCTTGATGAACCCTTTTTGGGGCTGGATTGGCAACCTCTGAGCTCCCTGTATCTGGATATTGTCATCTTTCCCCAGATTTGGAAAATTTTTCAGCCATTATTCCCTTAAATGTACATGCTAGTGCTTTTTCTCCCTCTTCTCTTTCAGAAATTCCTGTTATGCAAAAGTTAGTTAATTTCATGGTACCTCATAATTTCTGTAGGATTTCTTTCTTTTTTATTTTGTTTTATTTTTGCTCATCTAATTAGATAATTTAAAATTTTCTAATTTCAAGCTCACTGATTCTGTTTAGTCATGTCTTCTGTTGAAGCTTTCTACTGAATTTTTCAAATCACTTATTACAGTCTTTATCATTATAAATTCTTATTCTTTTTTGGCCAGACTTTTCATTTTGTTCATAAATTGTTTCACAAATTTTATGTAATTTTCTCTCTGCATTTTCTTGGCTTTCTCTAAAACTCTTTAAGAGAGTTATTCAGAATTAATTGTCAGTCATTTCCTAGATCCCCATTTATTCTGGTTCTGTTATTGGAGCTTGATTAACTTCCTTTGGTAGTGTTACATTTCCCTGATTTTAAATAATCCTGTATACTTACATTGATACCTGTGCACTTGATAAGACAGGTACCTTTTCCAATATTTGCAGGTATTTTTTGGTGGTGAGAGAACTTTATTATTTTGTCTAGCCTATAATTGCAGGTAATTCCAGCTAGTAGCAGCTATAGACAGGCAGACTTTGGTGTCAGGTTCTTCCACTGGGCTGGGTCACTTCCTGTGCTCTGAGGTTGAATGGTAATGCTGGCTGAGCTCTGTGGTCTAGTAAGACCACTGAATGGACTCTGCCATCAAATTTGGCTGCTGCCTGGGCTCTGCAAATAATCTCTGGTTGGGCAAAGTTGCAGATTACCACTCTTGGCCTAGTGGAGATGTTGTTGTTTCGAACCTGTAGTTGGGCAAGGCCATGTGCTAAACTCCAAGGCTGAGTGAAGTATCTTGGGTTGCTGCTCGACCACACGGGATGGACAGGGCAGAGGCTATGTGGCACAGATATGCATGAACTTGAGTTTGTTTCCCAGCCTGGCATATGCTTAAGCAGAGCACCGAAGTTTGGTGAAGTCACCACTCAGCAACTGAGGTTGGGCAGAACAAGACACCCTCTCCCCTGGTAATCACTGACCTGCAATTGCCTTCAAGCATGGAGAATATTTACTAAGAAAACCAGGGCTTAGTTGGATCACTTCCTGCCTGCAGTGGCTGGTCAGGGCCAGATGCTGTATCCACTGGTAATATTTGAGTCTGGCTCTGTGGCCCAGGCTGGAGTGCAGTGGCGCGATCTCGGCTCACTGCAAGCTCCGCCTCCCGGGTTCACACCATTCTCCTGCCTCAGCCGCCCAAGTAGCTGGGACTACAAGCGCCCGCCACCATGCCCGGCTAATTTCTTTTGGTATTTTTAGTAGAGACGGGGCTTCACCGCGTTAGCAAGGATGGTCTCGATTTCCTGACCTCGTGATCCGCTCCCCTCGGCCTCCCAAAGTGCTGGGATTACAGGTGTGAGCCACTGTGCCTGGCACAGTTGCTTCTTAACTAAGAAAACCAACGAAAACATCCAGGATGTGTGAGGAAGCTGGCTAGAGATCCAAATCAGGAAGTCCCATGGACTGTGTTTCCTGCAGCATGGCACTGTTGGTTAGTCTCTCTGGTGTGGTACTTCCATTGACCAGAATGCAGAACAACTACCAAGATCCACATGCTAGTTGATGTGAGCCCCAGCCTCATTCTTTGTTTCTAACTGACCTCAGGTAATCTAGCTCTGCCAGTACTACCAGTGTTTCCCATGGGACAAGATGGAGGTGAGCCTCCTGTAGAGTCCCAGAATAGTAGGGAAGCTGAATGTCTACCTCCAAATCACTTTTTCCACAATAGAAATCATAGATATAGGGGCATTCTCCATGTCTGGTGCTGTGCCAGCTTGGGGAGGGGCAGCATGGTCAAAGAACTGTTATTACCATTAAATTACAGCTTTTTTCAGTTATGCGGTCCAAAGAGGTGTCTCAGCCTTATTCCCAGGTTCTGGGATATTCATGATAGTATTTTTGCCTGTGGATAATTGCTAGTTTAATTTTCACTGTAGGGGAAGAGTGAAGCCTAAGAACTCCTATTATGCCAGCTTGCTCTGAGTGCAATTCTTAACTGATACCTCTAGAGGTCAGATTAAAATATATCATTTATGTTGCATTCATATAATGCCTAAGTCAGTTTCTTCAATATTGTATATTCTGATATTTCAAATGATATTTATCAGTTGTATGAATGAATATATTAATTCATTAATGGTGGACTTTCCAAAAAGTCTGAATGGCTTAGGTATAAAAATCATAAAGAAAATTATTCTCGATATCCAAAAAGAGTTTGTACTGTATAAAAAGATGAACAGGCTTAAGGTAGATTAAATTCACTTCTCAGGAACATATTAAAGTGAAACTAAGAATACTTGAGTTACATTATTGTAAGGTGACTGTTGGGGAAGGAAACTACTACATTCTAGATATTTAGGTTACAGAAAAAGTAGCAGCTGAATAGACCACTGTTCTGATCTTGAATGACATTTCCTATGTTGCTTTTATGCTGTTATTAAGATGATGATTCATCTCATTTTTAAAGCCCTCTAATCTTCCCCTGTTATAACTTATTCCAATGTTTAACAGCTAACACTGTCAAGAACATTTTCATTATATCTAACTCACATTCATTGTACTGCTCTTAGAAGACACAGAGAAAAATATATACCTATTCTCTGAATAAAAATTCAAGCAGAGGCCAAAGTTATATTAACTTTCTTAGAAAAAGAGCCAAAAATTATGGTGGGACATTCAGGTGATATGCCTAAGAATTCCCCCCAAATACCTTAAAGAGCATAGGAAATGACTGGAAGAGGAGAACCGATCACCTTAATGATAAACTGATCACAGTATAATTCTACTCTCTTTAATGACTTTCCTTATTAAATTCTCCTTGTGCAAAAAGTATGGTAACGCACTAACATTATCCAATTAAGCATCTATTAACTGCCTAAAATGGATATATGGACTATTACCTTAGAAAATTGGCAGATCTATACTAATTCAGTGTAACTCTATACTCTTGACAACTTTTAAATATGTAATATACAGAATAGATACTTCACTTTATTATGTTTATATGCATATATGCACACACATAAATATATACATGCAGTAACATAAACCCAATGATTTACTCAGAAAACACATGTTAAATGCCCTCAAAACATGCTCAAATATGGAACCCTCTAGTAGGAAATATGCTTGGTTTAAAGAAAAAAACAGGTGTAAATTAATATTATCAGTGTAGTTGGTGCAATTTCATAAAACATTGAAATATATTGGAGAACTCAACAGACCATATCTACAAAAGTAATAGGTTATGAAATGAGTTCTAATTTTGCCTGTAAGAGTGGGAGGCTAATGTACTTTGCGCTGAAAAAGTCATTCTATTGCATGATTACTTTTTAGTTAAGTTAAATATTTAAAGCATGCAGGACACAAACTGGCATGAAGTGGTTACTAAAAATTATTAACTCAATTTTCTGTTAGTACACCATATATATCAAATTATAAGTAGCAAGTGATGATAAGACCTTAATCTTTCTTTAACATCTTTATCATTCTATTTCCCTAATCAAGAGCTTATTTGCTTATTTATTTCTTTTCTAAGATCAAAGTGTTTTGGTCAGAGCCCTCAGCCATTCATTCTGGCTCCTCCCTGGCTAACTAATATTGTCTCTACTCTGTCCTTCAATCCTGTCTTCTTGCTGCCTTCCTGAATGCCATACTAATTTCTACTTCTCCACATGTCTCTAGTTCTCCACATTTTGTTATTTTCCCCATCTAGAACCTGTTCATCAAATCTTAACTTTTACTCTTGCCAAATACAGCTATCATCACAATGGGAGAGCTTTTATTAACTGTCACACTACACAAACTTTTCATCCTAGACTCAATATTTTACTTGTAATCACCACCATATCATTTTTAAAATTTATCTTTAAATACATTCAAATGTTTGGGAAAGTAGAGAAAAGTAGATTAAATTGTTTACAGATCATCAAACATGATTTTTAAAGTTTTCATAAACAGAAGAAAATGGATGAGATACTCAGCCATCCATTCACTTATCAAGTATTGATTGAGTACCGGTTTGTATTCAGTTACTATTGTAGAGACTGGGGATTAAAATATATGTGGAAACCAAGATCTTTGCTTGTGTAAACTTACATCTAATGGGAGGAGACAGATATTAATCAAGAAATATGAAAATGATTGTATCGTCTAGTAGGTTCCAAATGAGAAGTACTATGCAAAAGAAAAAACAAGTAAAGTAGAATATAAATAATGGCTTTCTCAAAAAGAGAAAGCATGTGATTTTTTGAGAAATTTGAGCAATGAATGACAGTTATTTTTTAAAAAAAATTGAAGATAGAACAAACAGCTTTCTTGAAGAGTTATAAAGGCAGAGAGAATAAGATACTAGTTAGGAAAAAATAAAGCATACCTAGAACAAATCTAGTAGTAGTTTGGCAAGCTGTGAAATAACTGAAAGAACAGACTATATGCTCCATTGTCAATTGGAAACAGAGAGGAAATTATTTTTAGCAGTTGACAATGGGCTCTGAGACCATAATGGGAGCTAATCACATTTGAGTAAATGACTATTTGAGATTCCTTGGAGATAATCAAAGTCTGAGGACTCCATCTTGATTTGATCTTATCAACATCTGTCCATATACCTGAAAATTGTAGTTGTTTTCCTCCTTTGTTATGCTATAACAGGTTACAAAAGATAAATGAAGGAAATGGGTCTATGCACCACTACTCTGGTTTGCTGGCTTCAGGTAAAGGTAAAGAGGAACTACATGGACATGAATATTTCTCTCAAAGTGGTGATTTGAACACTGAAAAGCCTATAATGTATGAGATAACTGGGAGACAAAACTGACTCCTTTGACTATACTAAATGATGTGAACACAAGTTTGTCTAGAAGGAAAAAGTGCGATGCTTGAATCACTGTGGTGACTAGGGTCATGACTCTAACGGGAGGGTTCTTATGCTAATAGCTAGGTGTTACCAGATTAGCAAAAAGTCACCTATGATCCAAAGTTCAAGTGCCAAGAATATAAATATGTGTTGCTTCAAAAATATTTTTCAACCATGGCTGAAGAACCATGGCCCACTGAAAGCCTAATGAGGTACTAGATGAGCAATTACACATATTGTTAAAAAATCAATCAGCAATGAATATTTCTGCAATTTGAGTGGAAAATTCAAATTAAATTTAATGAATATCTTAATCTTTTTCTGGGAGCTGAAAGGAGGCTTACATCTGTTTAATGTTAAGAAGAAAGCCTACATGGGGAAAAGAATAGAGACTACACTGTTCTTAAAATATTCAGAAGTGGTTTCAAAAAGACTGTAGTGCATTCTATTTGTTACAATCAGACAGATTTGAAAACCAGTTCTGATTCTGCCACTTCACTGTAAGACATTGAATGAGTTAGTTGGTGTCTTTGAGCATCAGTTTCTTCATCTTATAATAGATGCCGATAGTAATGGCAATATATATTTATTGTGATAATTTAATGCAGATAAAATGAGTTATCTTTGTCTTTGACATAAAATACAAATACTGATACTTTAATTGTATTTTGTGCTGTCATTGGTATTGGTATCGTTACTGATGTCAATATTGCTATTCATGTTTGTAATGGTATATCAATATTAGTTATGTTAGTGTTCATATTGTTACTGATGTTGTACTAGCATTGGTGTTGATATTGATATCACCATAAGGTATAGTCTGAAGGCAAATATTAGCATAATAGGAAAAGAAATATTTGGACCAAATTTTAGTCAACTACAAGAGCTGGATCTACTAAGAAACAATATAAGAACAATCTCTCTTCAGTAACTTGTAAATTGAAGACCTTTACAGTGAAAGAGAAATAAGAGTTCCCAAAGTGTGGCAATAAACCTATATCAGATTGTTGCATGAATAAGCTGCTACCTGCTGTGTCAGGATGGGAGTATTATCTAAAAATTAGTCACTTATAAACACTGCTTAAAAGGATCACAGTGTAGATTAAATGAAAGACATGTCTACAATAATGCCCAGAATATGGTAGATAACTAAGAATTATTACTTCCCCATCAATCCACTTCTGCCCATATAAATTCATGTACTTTTGTCCCACCTACTTTTAAAGAAAAGAAATCAACTGCAGACCTTTCTTTTCTGAAACTCTTTCATTTTCTATGGAAAAAAGATTTTATTCATCCTTTTAAAACTAAAAAGAAGCCAATATATATGAACAAAGAATATGACAAATTCTGAAGTCAAGATAATTTTAGATATTTCTTTTAATATAAGTGAGTGGTCTTATAATAGGTACAGTCAGGAGAAATGGCTACTACAAAAATTCCACTTAATCTCCTTTCCTTCACTGGGATGCTGAGAAATAAGAGCATCTGTTAATTTTATAGCACCTTAAAACAAATTTGAAAGATGCAGAATAAAAATTGCAGCTGCTCAAAGATAAGTTGATTTCTATAAAAATATGGACTTAATGTTTTATATTTTTAGAAATTGGGAAAACAAGCTCATGGATTAAAACTTTAACGGATGTGTTCATTTCCTCCTGAAAGCTGAAAAAAGGATTATGGCTATGTAGTCCTGAGAAGAGAGCCCAAAAAGAAAACTGAAGTCATCTATTTGGCTAATATAGAATAACTGATAATTTTAGCAGCAGTTCTGCATAATTGATGTAAAAATTTTGACTATCAAATTTCTCAAGACCCATAAATTTCTGATTTCATCATGTCCCTTTTACTTTCATACATTTAATAGTTTACAACTGTTCATATGTGTTTGTATTAGTTGTTTATACCATCTAGATTATAAGTTTGGGCAGCAACAATGTTATTATTCATCTTTTTTTCTCTTGAGTGCTTAGAAAATAGTTGATATCAATATATATTTTTAATGAACTAATTGTGCAGATGGACTATGAAAATGAACTTGATCAACTTTTCCATTTATTATAATTTAAGCCCAAGTTCTATAACTTCTGTTTTAAATTTTCATTTATTGTTTTGAAAAATTGAATACAAAAAGTCTTTGTAATCCCAGCACTTTGGGAGGCCAAGGCAGGTGGATCACAAGGTCAGGAGTTCAAGACCAGCCTGTCCAATATGGTGAAACCCCGTCTCTACTAAAAATACAAAAATTAGCCAGTCATGGTGGCACTCACCTGTAGTCTCAGCTACTCAGGCGGCTGAGTCAGGAGAATCACTTGAACCCAGGAGGCGGAGGTTGCAGGGAGCTGAGATCGCGCCACTGCACTCCAGACTGGGAGACAGAACGAGACTCCATCAAAAAAAAAAAAAAAAAAAAAAAAACCTAAAAAAACCAAAACGGGTAACTTGTGGAATGAGTTTTGTGGAAAATTTTAAAAGAAAATAGATCAATTGCTTAAAGGAAAAAAGGAAGTTTTTGTTTGGTTTGTTTTGTTGTTTTAACAAGTGGCATGGCTGGAATAATGTTTGGAAATTCAGTAAAGATGGTAAGAAATAGGGAGTGCTGAGAATGTCTTCAGATAGGAAGTTACATCAAGGAAGATAACTGAATGATTTCATTGTGGAATGTGCAGTAAGCTGAAAACATCAGGACAAAGAATCAATGTTCAATGATTGCTATTGACTGCCACTATTCCTAAAAAGATTGCCAGGATGTGAAGGTATGTGGAAATGTGAATAGCTACTATTGACAGTATCCTTATACCTTAGTTACCCTACTCAGTTGTAGAAGTGTGGTAATAAAGGATAAAGAGATTTGTGAATCACTATGAAATCCCGGGTTCATGAACTACTTTTACTGGCACTATAAGTAGATGAGTGTCATTGGAATTTAGACACTGAAGTTTAGAGTAACTTTATTTGTAAGTTCCTTGCTCATAAGATTTATGAGAAGTGTCATATGCAACCTGGTTTTTAAGGAAAACAATTACAACATATTATTCATAATCATTAGTTGCCTCCCCACCCCACTGCCCCTCACATACACACATACTTTCTCTCTCTCTCTCTGTCTCTCTCTCTCTCTCATCTCTCTCTCTCTCTCATCTCTCTCTCTCTCTCTTTTTGAGGGTAGAATTCTGAGATTAGATCGTTAAGAAACCAAATAATAATTATGTGCTTGGAATTTCCTAGAATTCAAGGCAATATGCATCATTTACTGCATCTGCCAAATCCTCATCCAGGTACTAATCAATTTGACTTAGCTTGGTAAGTATACATATGAAATAAAATAGAGAGATTATTTTAGACTGCCTTCAAGTTAATAAATTCATAAAACAAGGAATTTTATAGAATTTCTAATGTATGCTAAATAAATACTAATGTGTCATTCGCTCTGACACAAACAGACCTGGAATTAATGTCTTAATTTGGATCGCAGGTATCAGTAGATTTCATGATCCCTTGCTCTCTCTCCGTTTCCCTATGCTAACATAACCTAGGCTACAAGGAGACTCTCTTCAGGTTAAGATATTAACAAAAGACAAAAGAAAAAGGTTTTGCTCTGCCTTTCTCATAGTGATATATTAATGCTTCTGATGGGCTGCACACTCAGATTTGTTAGATTTCTTTTGAAAGCGCATTATCAGTGTATCCATTGTTTTCATCTTTTAAAATAAAAGATTCAGCCAGAATTAAACTTTTATCATCTATAACAGAGATAAATATTCATTTTTGTTCAACTTTATAAATACATTTTTTCACTAATGGACTTTATTCTTTTCTTTCTTCCTTTCTTTTTTTTGTTTTTTCTTTTCTTGAGGCAGAGTTTTGCTCTTGTTGCCCAGGCTGGAGTGCAAGGCTGTGATGTTGGCTCACTGCAACCTCCACCTCCCGGGTTCAAGTGATTTTCCTGCCTCAGCCTCCCAAGTAGCTGGGATTACAGGCACCCACCACCATGCCCGGCTAATTTTTTGTATTTTTAGTAGAGATGGGGTTTCACTATGTTGGCCAGGCTGGCCTCGAACCCCTGGCCTTAAGTGATCCACCCACCTCGGCCTCCCAAAGTGCTTGGATTACAAGCGTGAGCCACCGCGCCTGGCTGACTTTAGAAGAGTTTAGATGTACATAAAATTTCTTTAGAAGAGTTTAGATGTACATAAAATTGGGCAGATAGAACAGAGATCTCAGATACCTGACCCTGATACACAGACAATTTTCCTTATTTTAACATCTTGCTTTAGTATAGTACATTTGTTACAATTAATGAACTAATATTGACATGTCATTAACTGAAGTCCATGGCTTAAATGGAGATTCACTCTTTGTTCCCTTGTACACTATTTGTATAGTTCTGTGGGGTTTGACCAATATATAATGTCATATATCTGCTAGTAGACCATTACACAAATCAGTTTTACTGCCCTAAAAGTTCTCTATGCTCCACCTATTATCTCTCCCATCACCACCACCATCGCCAGCAACAACTGACTTTTATTGTCTCTACTCTTTATCTTATCCAGACTCAAATAGTTGGAATCATACAGAATGTATTATTTTCAGACTGTTTTTTTTTTTTCACTTAAATGCCATATGCATTTAAAGCTCCTTCCTGTCATCTAATTGTCTTGATAGCTCCTTTCTTTTTGCTGCAGAACAACATTACATTTTATGGATATAGCATAATTTATCCATTCACTTATTGATGGATATCTTGGTTACTTCCAGTTCTGTGAAATTATGAATACATCTGCTATCAAGATGTTTGCAGGTTTTTATGTAGCTATAAGTTTCAACCCAACTGTGTAAATACTTAGGAACACCACTGCTGGATCATGTGGTAAGACCATGTTTAGCTTTGTAAGAAATTACCAAGCTGTCTTCCAAAGTGGCTGTATCATTTTTTAAAATTTTTCTTATCAATGGATGAGAGTTTCTGTTGTTCTACATCCTAGTCAGCATTTGATATACTCAGTGTATTTTTTTGGATTTTAGCCATTTTAATAGGTGTGTGGTATTATAGTGTTTTAATATGCAATTACCTTATGACATACAATGTTGGGCATCTTTTCATAGGCTTATTTGCAATTTGTATATCTTCTTTGGTGAAATGCCTGTTCAGATCTTTTGCTCAGTTTTTGTTTTTTTCTCATTATTAAGTTTTAAGGGATCCTTGTATTTTTAGACACACCTTCTTTATCAGAAATGTGTTTGGCAAACATTTTCTCCTAGTCTATGGCTTGCCTTTTTATTTTATTAACAGTGTTTTCCAAAGAGCAGAACTTTTTAATTTTGCTAAAGTCAAACTTACGATTTTTTTTTTCTTTCATGAATCGTACTTTTGGTGTTCAGTCTGAAAACTCATTGCCTAACCGATGGTTACCTACATTTTCTCCTTATGTTAGCACCTAGGAGTTTTAAACTTTGCATTTTACCTTTAGATCTATGACCCCTTTCAATTTTTGCAAAAAGTCTGTGTCTAGAGTTATATTTTTGCATAGAGATGTCCAATTTTCCAGGACATTTGTTGAAAAGATTATCATTTCTCCACTGAATTGCCTTTATTCTTTTATCAAAGATCACTTCACTGTATTTCTGAATCTATTTCTGGGCTCTCTATTCTGTTCCATTGATCTATTTGTCTTTTCTTTCATCAATATTACAATGTCTTGACACTGTAGTTTCATAGGAAATCTTAAAGTTCTGTAGTGTCAGTCCATGAACTTTTCTTATTCAGTATTGTGCTCTCTGTTCTGGGTCTTTAGAATTTTCATACAAATTTTAGAATCAGTTCGTCAATATCCACAAAATAACTTGCCTTGATTTTTACTGGGATTGAGTTGAATTTATAGATAAAGATGGGAATGCTTGACATCTTAATTATATTGAGTATTGTTATAAAAGAACATGAATTATCTTTCCATTTATTTATATCATCTTTGATTTTCTTCATAAGAGTTTAGTTTTCTTCATATTGATTCTATACATATTTTATTAGATTTATATCTAAGCATTTCATTTCTTTGGTGCTAATATAAATGGTACTGTGTTTTTAATTTCAAATTTCATTAATTTATTACTACCATATAGGAAACAACTGATTTTTGTTTTAACATTGTATCTGCAATCTTGCCATACATACTTATTAGTTCCAGGATATTTTTTGAGGAATGGTTGGTATTTTCTACACAGAAAATCAAGTTATCTATGAATATACACAGTTTTATTTTTCTTTCCAATCTATATAGTTTTATTTTCTTTCCTTGTCTTATTGAATTAGTTAGCTCTATTTCCAGTACAATATTTAATAAGAATGGGAAAAGAGGACATCTTTACTGTTCCCAGTTTTAGGGGAAAGCATCTAGCTTCTCACAATTAGTGAGGTAAACTTGTAAGATTTTTGTATATGGTCTTCATCAAATTGCAAATATTCCCCTCAACTCCTAGTGTACTGAGAGTTTTTAATCACAAATGAGTGTTGGGTTTTGTCAAAAGTTTTTATGTATCTATTGAAGTGTATAATTTTTATTCATTAGCTTGTTATTGTGATGGAATATCTTAATAATTTTTTAAAATGTTGAATCAGCATTGCATGCCTGGAATAAATCCCACTTTGTCATAGTATATAATGCTTTGCATACATTATTGAACTTGATTTGCAAATATTTGGTTAAAGTTCTTAAAAACTCTCTTGATGAGAATATTGGTCTGTAGTTTCCCTTTCTTGTAATATTTTGTTGGATTTTGGTATTAAGGTAATGCTGGCCTCACTGAATGAATTAGAAGGTGTTCTCTGCTCTCCATAAATGTTTACAGAATTTATCAGTGAACCATGTGGGCCTGGTGGTTTGGGATTTTTTGTAAGATTATTAATTATTTTTTAATTCCTTCTTAGATATAGGTCTATTCTTATTATCTGTCTCCTTATGTGAGTTTTGGTAGTTTATGTCTTTCAATGAATTAACCCATTTCATCTAGGTTATCAAATTTATAGACATAGAGTTTTTCATAACATCAACCCCCAAGGACCTTGAAAGGATTATAATGATGACTCCTCTTTCATTTCTGATAGTAGTAAATTGTATCTTCCCTTTTTATTTTGTCTTGGTTATCCTGGCAAGAGTTTTATCAATTGTATTTATTTTTTCAATGAATCAGCTTTTTGTTTTATGGATTTTCTTTATGGATTTTTTGTCTTCAATGTCAAGTTATACACTATTTTCTCCTTCTTTTATTCTGCTTCCTTTAGAATTATGTTTCTCTTATTACAGGTTTAAGGTGGAGGCTTAGATTAATGAGGCTTAGATCTTCATTTCTAATATATGAATTCAATGTTATTAATTTCCTGCTTAGCACTGCTTTTACTAAGTCCTACAAATTTTGATAAGTGGCATTTTAATTTTTATTTAATTGACAGTATTTTAAAATTTCTCTTGAGACTTCTTCTTTGATCTTATTTTTTAATTCACTCTGACAGTCTTTATTTTTTAATTGGTGTATTTTGACCATTTATGTTTATAGTGATTACTAGTGTACATAGTTGAATTAATATTTATCATGTTTGCAACAATTTTTTATTCTTTGTCATTTTTCTTGAATTTTTTACAGCTCCTTTTTCCTCCTTCTTTAGTTTTAATTGGGTAGTTTATATGATTCCATCTCATCTCCTCTCAGCATTTCCACCATACATTTTTAAATTGTTTTAGTGCTGACCCTAAGGTTTACAACATACATTTATGATTATTCTAAATCCACTTTCAAATAACACTATACCAATTCCTGAGTAGTGCAGATACCATATAGCAGAGTATTTTCAATTCCTTCTTGCTGTTTCTTAATTTCACTTATCCACACACTGTAATCACTCCATATATTATTGCTATAATTACTTTGAACAAACATTATCTATTTGGTTAATTATGAATCATAAAAATACATCATTTTATTTTATCTTCATACATTTCTTCTCTGATGCTCTTCCTTAATGTAGATCTCAGTTTATGACACATATTATTTTTCTTCTCTTTAAATAATTTCTTTTAAAATTTTTTGCAAAGTATGTCTACTTGTGACAAATTATCTCATTTTCTTTGTCTCAGAAAGTCTTTATTTCTCTGTGACTTATGAAGGGTAATTTCACTGGAGACAGATTTCTAGATGTTTGCAGCAGTTGTAGGTCCAAGAGACTTCAGTTTTCTCAAGTTTCCTCGTTTTGTTTACTTTAGTTTTTTCCATCTTCCTATCTTTGGATTTCCTAAGAATGACTTCTTTAATAGAATCTGCCTTCAGGTTCTCTCAGTTGTAATTCACTGTTGTTATTCTAGAGCTGTATTAATGTGCCAGTAAGATATTGAGGAGGGAAGCATTCTATAAACTTATGATTAAATCTTTCTTTTAGTGGCCAAAATCCCCCTTCTGTGACCTTCAGAAGTGCTTCTTAGACTTTTTTGCTCTTTACCTTATGAAAGACAAGAAGGCTAGAGGGTACTGGAGTTGGGTACTTGTCCCTTCCTCAGATTTCACAAGGCTCTGGTAAAGTAGTTTCCCTTGAAGGATGGGCCTTTGTTACAGAGAATAATCCAAGTTTATTTCAGTATAGTCACTTTTCACCTGAGCATTTTCGAAATGACTATTTCCCTCTAGACTACATAATCTGAACATAACTTTTATATGCACTGGGAAACAAAAAATTTATGTGAATCACTTTATTATGATATTTGTTTTCTTAAGGTGATCTGGAACAAAATTCACAATATTTCTAAGGTATGCCTGTTTAGTTGTGTCTCAGGGGATAGGGAGAGCTGAGAAGGAGAGAAATGAGTGAATAGCTGTTCAGTTGAGCAAATCAGAACACACACAGCACTTACCAATTACATATGCCTCCTTATATGGGTGTGAGTCGTGGTGGCCCAATACAATTACATTGGTAACATCAAAGATCATTGATCACAGAGCACCATGACAGACATGATACTAATAAAAAAGTTCCTGGAGGAAATTAAAAATGCTACTTCAGTAAACAAAGGAATGGTAAAAGAGTGAAACAGCCTTATTACTGATATGGAGAAAGTGTTAGCTGTCTGGATAGATCAAACCAGTCACAATATACCCTTAAACCAAACCCTAATTCAGAACAATGGTCTAACTCTCTTCAATTATATGAAGGCTGAGAGAGGTAAGGAAGCTGCAGAAGAAAAGTTTGAAGCTAGCAGAGGATGGTCCCTGAGGTTTAAGGAAAGAAGCCATATCCATAACTAAAAAGGCAAAGTGAAACAGTAAGTGCTAATATATAAGCTGTAGGAAGTTGTACAGAAGATCTAAGATCATTGATAAGGGTGGCTACGCTAAACAACAGATATTTCAGTGTAGACCAAACAGCCTTATATTGGAAGAAGATGCCATCTAGGGCTTTCACTGGTCACCCAAGAGCTCCAATGGAGATGTACAAGGACATGAATGTTTTCATACCCGCTAACACAACATCCAACATCCACTCTGTAGCCCTTGGATCAAGGAACCACTTCAGATTGGAGTCTTATTATTTAAGAAATACATTTTGTAAGGCTATAGCTGCCTTAGACAGTGATTTATCTGATGGAACTGGGCAAAGGAAATTGAAAACCTTCAGGAAAGGAGTCACCATTCTAGATACCACTAAGACCATTCTGGAGTCATGGTAGGAGGTTAAAATATCAACATTATCAGGAGTTTGAAAGAAGTTGATGCCAACCCTCATGAGTAACTTTGAGGAGTTCAAGACCTTCGGTGGAGGACATAACTGCAGATGTGATGAAAATAGCAAGAGAAAAAGAATTAGAAGTGGAGCTTACTGATGTGACTTAACTGCTGCAATCTGATTATAAAACTGGAATGGGTGAGGATTTGCATCTTGGAGATTAACAAAGATAGTGGTTTCTTGATGTGGAATCCACTCCTGGTAAAGATGCTGTGAGCATTGTTGAAATGACAACAAAGAGAATATTATATAATATTACATAATCTCAGAATACTACATAATATTAGAATATTACATAAAAGTTGGTAAAGGCAGCAGCAGGGTTTGAGAGCACTGACTCCAATTTTGAAAGAAATTATACTATGAGTAAAATGCTATCAAATAGCATTTCATGCCACAGAGAAATCATGCATGAAAGCATGAGTCAATCAATGCGGCAAATTTCATTGTTGTCTTATTTTTAAAACCACCACAACCACCCCAATCTTCACCATACACCACTCTGATCAGTCAGCAGCCATCAATATTGAGCAAGACCCTCCAGCAGCAAAAAGATTAAGGCTCACTGAGGGTTCTGATGATGATAAGCATTTCTAAGCAATAAAGTATTTTTAAATTAAGATATGCTCATTTTTTTTACCATAATGCTGTTGCACACTTAATAGACTACATTATAGTGTGAACATAACTTTTATATGTGTAGGGAAACCAAAATATTCATATGAGTCACCTTATTATGATATTCACTTTATTGTGGGTGGTCTGGAATCAAACCCACAATATCTCTGAGTCATGCTTGTAGTTAGTTACTGACTCTAACAGTTTATGATTCACATCAGTTGACCTGGGCTGTGCCTCTCTGTATTTAACTCTCTCTTCAGATTTTGGTATGGCCATTTGCCCCGTGACCTCAATTTTCTAATGAACCTAAGAAAAATTGTTGGTTTTCAGTTTGTACAACTGTTTTTTTTTTTTTTTTCTTTTGAGGATAGGATTGATAATCTCCAAACTTTGCTGAAACCTGAAGTGTTTCAAAAAATCTGAAGTCTTTATAATATATTTGAAAGTATTAAAATTATGTGCATACCAGTATTTAAAGAAAGAACTACAAATATATGCAGAAAAAATTTGTCTAGCTCATGCTTATTTTTAAATCAAAAATATATATTTTTTATTTTTAAAAAACATTGGAAAAATTTTTAGTGTTTCTCAAAATGTATATTTCTTCCACTTTTTAGGTCTATAAATGTTTATCAGTGAAACCTAAACATTTTTGTAAAAAGTTTTAGCCTGTTAAAAGATAGGTTTTTACTCATTTTTGGAACAGTTAATAACCTTTATATTAAAGTCTGTGGTCTCTTCAGTAGCCAAGGACATTTTACAGTGAAATAATTTTCTGGTTTCTGTATAAAAGAACTAAGAAGTCCTTGAAATGAAGTATTTTCATTTTTGTCTTCATGCAACTTACCCTGTCTGGATCTTTTTACATAGTCCTGGCTCACAGGTTTCCTTTCCTTTCATTACAGTTATTTGCATGTCTGACTAATCTGTAGCCTTATAAGCCTTTGGAGGTACAGAAGAAAGGACTTTATCATCAATGTCTCACTCATACACCGAGCATAAGCTTTTTGCCATAAACATAGAATCTTGAAATCTTAGATCATGCAAAAACAATTTTCTCTTCATTTTCCAGGGAGAAAATTAAAATAGAGCATAATCAAATTGATTAAATATATTAAATAAGCAAAATGGCAAGAACAATGGTGAAAGAATAAGTGTACTTTCCACTCACTCCCTACTGAAGCCATCATATTCTATATATTATACTTAAATTGCCATATTTATGAATTATTGAGTAATTCTCTTAATTGATTCCAGACTCAGAAAATAAAAAAGAAGTATTATTTTTTGACTTCTAAATTCTCAGCAGTGAATAACATCTGAGATAACAGGAGTCAGTTCACAGATGGGTAATTTCTTAAATAAATATATTTTATATTAATCGCTCTTGGGAAGATGTAATGCTACAGAAAGTGTTATTTTGGTTATTTAATTTAAAGATAAATTTATATAGGCCACTGTCTTAGCCCATTATAGCTTCTGTAACAAAATACTATAAACTGAGTAGCATATAAACAACAGACATTTATTTGGCACTGCTCTGTATCAAGGGAACCAGCCCCTAATATTTCAATGTAGGTTCTTTTCTATTTTCCCTAAGTGTCGGCCAGTCTGAGAAATAAAGAGAAAGAGTACAAAGAGAGAAATTTTACAGCTGGGCCTCCGGGGGTGACATCACATATTGGTAGGACCGTGATGCTGACTCCAAGCTGCAAAACCAGCAAGTTTTTATTAGGAGTTTTAAAAGCGGGGGAAGGTTTACCAACAGGGAGTAGGTCACAAGGATCACATGCTTCAAAGGGCAATAAAGATTACAAGGTGAAGGCAAAATTAGAATTACTGATGAGGGTCTATGTCCCGTTGTGTACGCATTGTCTTGATAAACATCTTAACAGGAGACAGGGTTCAAGAGCAGACAACCGGTCTGACTAGAATTTACCAGGCTGGAATTTCCCAATCCTAGCAAGCCTGAGGGTACTGCAGGAGACCAGGGCGTATTTCAGTCCTTATCTCAACCACATAAGATAGACACCTCCAGAGCAGCCCTCTATAGACCTACCCACAGGAATGCATTCCTTCCCTAGGGTTATTCCTTGCTGGGAAAAGAATTCAGCGATATTTCTTCTACTCACACATCTGTCTATAGGCTTTCTGCAAGAAGAAAAATATGGCTCTATTCTGCCCAACCCTGCAGGCAGTCAGACCTTAAGGTTATCTTCCCTTGTTCCCTGAAAAATCACTGTTATTCTGTTCTTTTTCAGGGTACACTGATTTCAAACACATATGTTTTACAATCCATTTGTACAATAGTGGTCCTGAGGTGATGTACATTCTCAGCTTACGAAGATAACAGGATTAAGAGATTAAAGTAAAGACAAGCATAAGAAATTATAAGAGTGTTAATTCGGGAAGAAGTGATAAATGTCCATGAAATCTTCACAGTTTATGTTCAGAGAATGCAGTAAAGAGAGGTGTAAGAAATTATAAAAGTATTAATTTTGGGAACTGATAAATGTCCATGAAATCTTCACAATTTATGTTCTTCTGCCTCGGCTCCAGCCGGTCCCTCTGTTCAGGGTCCCTGACTTCCCGCAACAGTTCTGGAGGCTAGGAAGTCCAAGATTAACGTGCCAGCAGATTTGGTGTCTGATGAGGGTCTGCTTCTTGGTTTGTAAATATCCATCTTCTCACTGCATGCTCACACAGTAGAAAGCACACAGCAGCTCTCTAGGACTTCTTTTATAAGGCCAATAATTCCATTCATTAGGGGTCTGCCTTCTTGGCCTAACTACCTCTCAACAACCCCAACTCCTAATACCATCACATTGATGATTAGATTTCAACATATGAATTTGGGGGAACAAAAACATTCAGAATATAACAGTAATCAAGTTATTGCCATTAAAATATTTGGTATATAGCTTTATTGACATTATTGGCTTTATATCTCCAAATTGTTCAGGCTATAGTATTGATGTTTCCTCTTTTGAATTGACCATAGGATTCAATGAGAAAGAAGCCACTACATCTGAAGTGACAGCACTGGTGGAAAAGGAGCAGAATGGGGAAAACCCTCTTTCTGATTCTTTGTGCAATCTGTTACCATTACATTGTTTAGGCCTTCACATAAATGTTGCCTCATAAGAGAAGCTGGCTCCAATAATATAACATAAAGTAGACTTCCAGTTTCTATATCTAACTGTTGAATTGTTACTGATGCTTCATAAATCCTGACTGATAATTTTGAACCCTAATACAATTCTTTAGAAGGTAAAACTCACTGACTTTGTGTTGGTTTGAAATTATAGAAAATATTGGGTACTTAATGAGTATTAGTCCTGTAAGAATGTTCTCCTTCCTTCTTCTGTACAATATATTCAGTTTCAGTACTAGTTCTTGGTGCTAGACAAAAAAGACCAAGACAGACAAAATTCTTGATTGCATAAAGCTTACATTATAAAAACGTGACTGAAACCTAACAACAAAAAATGATTTTTGGATAAGCAGAACGAGTACAGGGAGAAATGAGTAATTTAGGAATTTTTCCCCTTTCCCTTTGAAACATCTTCTCTATCCAATAAACACATATGGTACCAAGGTTAAAAGTCAGGTGTTGAGAGTTAGGGGTTTTTAATATCAACCCACATTATGGTAGACAAGAAATGAGACACATTATCCCCCCTACCTTTAGTTTCAATGCCAACTAACAAAGCATGTCCAAAGCATATGAAGAAGCAGAAATCCTAGGTGCAATCAAAGAGTTAGAAAATAATCATTTCTGAAATTCCTTCGAATTTGATGATTGACTATTGGACAGAGGTAAGTAGAAACCTGGAAAGTAAAAACTGACCACTTTCTTTTTACTTCATGGAAAAGGCACGAGAAATTTATGATGATGCCAAGCATCAAAAAATAGAAGATTTCCATATAAGTATATTTTTTATGTCAAAGAAAAATGAAACTACTTTAAAGTGAACATTTGACTGCATCCAAATGATATTTATGAGAAATCATAGTAATGTAATTTTAAAACTCATACTTTTAAAATCATTTATGTGCATTTAAGTAGCTTAAAATCCAATTATTTCCAAGTTAATTTTATGAATTTACCCATAATTTGGCCTTAAACATAACTAATTACAATATTTTCTAGACTTATAACTAGAGTTGAACCTCACGTATGGAGGATTATAGTCATTGCATAATTTATGAATAGTGATGCTGGCAAGCCTAGTTGTAGATATGTGAGGTCTCCCTCCAATAGAGATCCAGGGTCCATTGTCCAGTTTCCTAATCAGCTGTGGCATCAGCAATAGCAGCAGTAACTCCTACAACTTCCTAATTCCTGACTCATAATTATGGTGTTTCTTTCTCAAATCTACAGGGAGGTCAGGGGCAGAGACAGCAAAAACTAAAATAGGTTCTTATTCCAGTGTAACTCTAAGTACACTGATGGGATCTGAAGTAGTAGTTCTCATGATTGGACAGCTTTTCATTATTCTGGGAATCATTCTACATTTCAGCAGTGTTTCAAAAGATCCTATTCTGTTTTAAATATCTAAGAGTCTTTTGTTGCCTACACTGAACCTTGAACAGATAGCAATGGCAAAAAAAAAAAAACAAAAAACTCACTATTTTCTTTCAAATTTTTAAGTTATAGGAAAATAAATGTCATTTTCATAGACATTAAAATATTTGCTATATTGATAAGTATTGATAGGACATTTGAACATGAATGGATGTAGAAAAGATGCACAAATGTAGAGACAAAAGAAAAAAAGATGTATGTGATGTGAAAAGAAGTAAACTTTTATAAAACATACTAGAAAAAATTATTCTGCTAAAGCACACATTATAAATCAAGTCTCTGACATTATCTGCCAAAAATAGAAAGAAAAATACAATATACGCCCACATCATCCTTTTTAATAGATAAATGGCTTCCTATTTTGAGAAGTGAATATATCCTTCTCCTAAAAGAGTATTTTGAAAGCTTGAATTGCTTTTTTCTTTAACAAAAATACCAACCATCTAAAACTAAAAGTGGCCAAAAATATCTTTTCTTAGTAGTCCATTAGTACGTTTTCAGATATTAATTGTTCATATATTCTCAGCAACCCTTCATATGCTATAGATTATCAAGTGGATCACTCCTTCTTTAAGAGGTCAATTTAAGTATAACCTTTCTACATGTAAAGAAAACCTAGAGGATAAACTCAAATAATTAAACTGAATTATCAACCGGATACAACCACCAGAAAGAAAATATTGTGAATTATGTAGGGATAATCATTTAGGGCACAGCAGCCCCAAAATGTTATGTACAGAATGAGTTTACCAGCATGGCAAAGCAGGTGGTATATAGGTAGTCTCCACAAAGGCACTGTGCCATTTGATGTACGGGATGGCAGGTGACTGAGGATTTATTGTAGCCCAAGTACTTCTGATCTGGAGAATCAAGCAATTCTGACACAAAGAAAAATATGTTAGAGAACTAATCTGATAAGGAAAAGAATTTATGTCTGGTTTTTTAACAAGGAATCAGAACGACCTTACTTGCCTAAATATCTTAAGTTGAAAATCCGCAAGAGAGATATTTAAATATTAATATTTTACATCTGGCCAGGCACAGTGGTGCGTGCTTGTAGTTTCTGCTACTCAAGAGGCTGAGGTGGAAGAGTCACTTGAGCCCAGGAGTTTGAGTCAGCCTGGGCAACATAGAGAGACCCTGTCTCTAAAAACAATAAATATTTTTAGCCTCTAAGCCCTTTGAACTAAGTTAAGATGAAAATAAAATTTGTCAAAACTTACAGAATCCCTTTTTTTCCCCTAAGATGGTGGGTTAGAGGGATTATTAGCATGCCTCTACCACTTGGAAAGACAAAATAGTGTGTAGAGATTCACACTGTAAACTTTTTTTTTTTACGAAGAAGCAACACAAGAACTTAACAGAAAAGCTTAAAGAAACCACAGACTCTGAAAAAAGCAGTGGGAAACTGTCTATACCAGGAACCAGGAAGAAAACTGTGAGTTTCCAGAGCATGAGAGAAAGAAAGACTGCTTCTGTGACATAAACTCCCACTGGGGAGCCAGGCAATCTAGGCCATGGGGGAATGCCTAACCCTATCTAGTTCTGAGGCTGATTTAGTGAGTGGTGAAGAATATATGAGAAGGAGCAGCATCAGGATGTTCTTTGTGGAGACAGAGGGATGTCATTCCTGATTCTACCTCACAGATAACCTGGTGGAAGTCAACGAGGGAACTCAGACAGTGGTCACAGGTTGAAAGAAGTGCCTGAGATTTGCAATATAATCTTGAGTGGGAATAACCCCCTTGGCCAGAACCAAGGGGTGAGCAGGAGGTGTGTTATAGCCACAGGCACAGAAGCTGGATGCTCATGCTTTGCAGGTGGACCAGGAGGGGCATGGCCAGAAATTTGTGGTTTGTATCTTGGTTGGGAAGGCTTATGGCCTCAGGCAGTTTTGGATCTGAGCACAGGCTGCCTAGATCACAGCTTTCTGCTTCTAGCAGAACACTGTGGGTGTAAGACCGGCCTTGCCAAGTACATGGGAACTGAGTGGGGTTTACTGCCACCTGCTACCTCCTTTTCCCATGCAGAGTCTTTTGTGCTGCAGATACAGCTGTGCCCCTTCCTGGAACATTATTCTAGTGGCCAAGGAACTACCCTGAGATCCCTATTGGGGCTGCCTGCACTTGCTTGTGGGGAGCCAAGTGCAGACTTGCCTGACCCAGACCTCACTGGGCTTTGCCTCTCCATCCACCCTGGTAGCATTACACAACGCACAAGGACTTCTGAAAGGTCCACGGCCCAATCCACTGCCTGAGACACTAGAGTATCTCCCCTGGGTAACATAAGGCAAGCACAAACACCATTGCTACCATTGCAGCTGGTGCTCTTTTGTAAAAGCCACCTCCTGGCTGGAGGCCAATTGGCATAACCCATTAAGACATCTGCAAGTAGAATCATACAGTGCTCAGGAAGGAGAAAACTTTTGCACAACCTCACCTATCACCATTTCCTGCATCACCCTGGCTATCCATGGGGTCTTGACTTTGTCCATGTGACTAGTACATTACTACTACAGCTAGCATTTGAGAAAGCCAACACATTAAGGCTATTTATAACCAAGGAAATCTCAGATTCTACATTACTGTCCCTCCACTCTCACCAGAACTAGCGCTTGTACCCACTGCTTGGAGACTAGAGGACAGGTCACATAACTTGATCCCTTAGAGACATTCCCCAACACCAGCCTGGGGTACGGCATCCCTACTTAGTGGCTAGACCCAGAGAAGCAGAAGTATTTACAACATTCTGGCCCTCAGGGATAGTTACTTTTAGGGAAAAGGGGAGTGTACCACATGAAGGAAATGCCTTATGGACAAAAGCAAAATAAAACCAAAAGTAGCACAGACTATAGGCCCTGAGTTCCTGAACTTTCCACTTGTAGAAATTTTCTTTCAGTAGAGACACGTGCAGTACTAGGCTCAATGGGGAAAGTCTGCAGTTCTACCCCAACAGTCAGACAGCCCAAGTGCTTACAAAGGGTCTTGGAGAAGGGGACTTCTCCTTCTCAACCACCATTGCAGACACAGGTAGGGCTTCTCCAATGAGTGCTCCACATGGGTACATCTGTACACAGCCTCTCTGGAACACTTCATGGTGAATGCATCCCCATAGGAGGAATGCCCCACAGGTTTAGGCTTGCATGAGAGGTAGAGTCAAAATCCTTCTCTCCTTGGAACATTAGCATTCCTGCAGATAAAAAGAGGTGCCTGTCTGGTCTCAATAGCTGGCACACCAGGTCAGGAGAGTGAATAGGAAGCAGATTGCTTTCCTGCTGGCATGAAAGGAGACCTGTGGTAATTGCCTCCCTTTCCCCTGAAAAGACCTCAGCACATTTCACTGGCAGCTTCCTCAGCTGCCTCTGTCAAGGCTGGGACCTCTGCCCACAATTAGCGTATTGCATTTACCCACCTGCTTCAGCTACAGCAAGTTTTTGCACATGGGTATCTCCTACTGGCCTGAGGCCTGAACCGTTCAACCCAGTGAATAAAATACTGGGAAATAAATGTAAAGTGAACACCACTGGGGAATGAGATAAGCTTCATAAGATCTCTGCCATTCCAGCCCCACAGGAGAAAGTGATCCTGCTACTACAATCAGCATCTGAGAAAGCCATCACACAAAGATTCCCTAGAACCAAAGAACTTACACAAAGTCTTCACCACTGGAAGCACCCAGAGCCAAAGCTAGGTAACAATAAACTATAAACATTAAAGTCACATCCTCAAGGGGAAAGAAAGACATTTTTAAAAAATCTCAAATAAATAAATTAATTAAAAATAATTAATAAACGGTGCTGGGAAAACTGGCTAGCCATATGTAGAAAGCTGAAACTGGATCCCTTTCTTACACCTTATACAAAAATTAACTCAAGATGGATTAAAGACTTAAATGTAAGACCTAAAACCATAAAAACCCTGGAAAAAAACCTAGGCAATACCATTTAGGACATAGGCATGGGCAAGGACTTCATGACTAAAACACCAAAAGCAATGGCAACAAAAGCCAAAATAGACAAATGTGATCTATTTAAACTAAAGAGTTTCTGCACAGCAAAATAAACTATCAGCAGAATGAACAGGCAACCTACAGAATGGGAGAAATTTTTTGCAATCTACCCATCTGACAAAGGGCTAATATCCAGAATCTACAAAGAACTTAAACAAATTTACAAGAAAAAAACAAACAACCCCATCAAAAAGTGGGTGAAGGATATGAACAGACACTTCTCAAAAGAAGACATTTATGCAGCCAACAGACGAAAAAAATGCTCATCATCACTGGTCATCAGAGAAATGCAAATCAAAACCACAATGAGATACCATCTCATGCCACTTAGAATGGTAATCATTAAAAAGTCAGGAAATAGCAGATGCTGGAGAGGATGTGGAGAAATAGGAAAGCTTTTACACTGTTGGTGGAAGTGTAAATTAATTCAACCGTTGTGGAAGACAGCGTGGTGATTCCTCAAGGATCTAGAACTAGAAATACCATTTGACCCAGCCATTCCATTACTGGCTATATCCCAAAGGATTATAAATCATGCTACTAAAAAGACACATGCACACGTATGTTTATTGAGGCACTATTCACAATAGCAAAGACTTGGAACCAACCCAAATGTCATCAATGATAGACTGGATTAAGAAAATGTGGCACATATACACCATGGAATACTATGCAGTCATAAAAAAGGATGAGTTCTTGTCCTTTGCAGGCACATGGATGAAGCTGGAAACCATCATTCTCAGCAAACTATCACAAGGACAGAAAACCAAACACCGCATGTTCTCACTAATAAGTGGGAGTTGAACAATGAGAACACATGGACATAGGGAGGGAAACATCACACACTGGTGCCTGTCAGGGGGTGGGGGACTGGGAGAGGGATAGCATTAGGAGAAATACCTAAGGTAAATGACGAGTTAATGGGTGCAGCAAACCAACATGGCACATGTATACCTATGTAACAAACCTGCACGTTGTGCACATGTACCCTAGAACTTAAAGTATAACAAAAAAAAATTAGAATAGTCTAATCAAATGAGAGGGAACCAGAAAAATAATACTTGCAATATGAAAAAACAAGTTTCTATAACACTCCCAAAGATCCCACTTAATCTCTAGCAGTGGATCCAAACCAAGATGAAATCTTTTAAGTATCGGATAAAGAATTCAAAGAGTTGGTTATTAAGTTACTCAAGGAGATACAAGAGGAAGGTGAAAACCAACAAAGAAATTAAAAAACAATTCAGGATATGCATGAAAAATTTTCTAAGGAGATGGATACTTTAAAGAGAAACAATCATAATTTCTGGAAACAATAAAACACATTTAGGGAACTATAAAATTTCGTGGAAAGTTTTAATGGACTAGACCAAGTAGAAGAAAGAATTTCAGAGGTCAAAGACATCATACTGATCAGGCAAAATAAAGAAACAAAAGAAACAAAGTCTCCAGGAAATATGGGATTATGTAAAATGGCCAAACCTAAGAATTATATGTGTTCCCAAAGGAGAAGAAAAAGCAAAATGTTTGTAAAACCTATTTCAGAAATAATTGACAAAGTCTTCATTGGCATTGCTAGAGATTTAGACATTCAAAGCAAGAAGATAAAAGAACTCCTGGGAGATCCATTGCAAAAAAGGACAGCACCAAGGCATGTAGTCATCAGGCAATTGTCAACATGATGGAAAAAGTTATAAGAGCAGTAAGACAAAAGCATTAGATAACATATAAAGGAAAACCTATGAGACTAAAAGCAGACTTCTCAGCAGAAACCTACAGGCCTGAAGGGATTGAGGTCCTGTCTTCAGTCTCTTTAAACTGAATAACTGTCAGCTAAGCATTTTGTATTCAGCAAAACTAAATTTTATAAATGAAGGAGATATAAATGTTTCTCAGATAAGTAATTGCTGAGGGAATTTGTCAATACTGTACCAATATTGTGAGAAATTCTAAAAAGAGTTTTATAGGTCTTAAAAGGTCAATACACACTAGAACTTTTAGATAGATAAAGAAATGAAAGTTATTAATTTTAACATAACTTTTTATACTTTGATGTTATAATGTATTAAAATATATAATATCCTGTTATATTTGATTATGTAGCAATGATATTTTTGTATCTGCTTGGAATAAAACTGCTTATTTGATGACATTAATATGTGTACTATGCTCACTACCTGAGTGACAGGATCAATCATACCCCAAACCTCAGCATCATTCAATATACTCATGTAACAAACCTGCATGTTCCCTAAGCTGAGGGTTCCTCTCCTATAATGCAACCTACTGAAATCCTAAGAACTTGATCTGATTTCTTTTTCTCTTACTTTTTCCATCTTTTCAGTGAGAAATGCATATATAATGAATCTCTATTGATTCCAAAGTTCAGTTATACCATAATGATTTTGATTTATCAAAGTATTATATATCATGTATATCACATATACATGTGTATCATAATACTATGATAATATGTATCACAATAATAGCACATGTTAATAAACTTCTGCTTGTTTTTCTTTTGTTCATTTGACTTTTGTTTTCAGGAGACTATCTCAATAAAGAACCGAAAAATAGAATAATAGTATAAGATACTATGACACTACATATCATATTATTATGCTATCATGGTTTTGTTATTTCAACACAAGACCAAAGGATGTCCTCTAATTAATATGTAGGAAAATTACATATTTTCCTATACAAGAAAGCCACAAGTAACCCACATTCTTGTATGTTATTTTCAATTTACTATATTTTAATTTAAAAAATTCATAACGTGTGTTTGTTTTCCAATGTTAACTTTATTTGAAAGTACATATCTTGGCAAAAAGTCTTTGTTTCCTGGGATCCAATATAGATCATTACTGATGTAAAAGAATTTTATTTATTTATTTATTTATTTGAGACAGTCTCTGTCACCCAGGCTGGAGTGCAGTGAAAGTATCTCAGCTCACTGCAAACTCCGCTTCCCTGATTCGAGTGATTCTCCTGCCTCAGACTCCTGAGTAGCTGGGATTACAGGTACATGCCACCGCGCCCAGCTAATTTTTGTATTTTTAGTACAGATAGGGTTTCGTCCTGTTGGCCAGCTTGATCTTGAACTCCTGAACTCTGGTGATCCACCCACCTTGGCTTGCCAAAGTGCTGGGATTACAGGTGTGAGCCACTGTGCCCAACCCAAGAATTTTAAATATTAGATTCTCTTTATATATCTTTAGTTTGAAGAGATCATGCTTTTCTCTACATTTATAATTCCTCATTAGGCTCTGTGTTAATTAGTAAATAATACTATCTCTTACAAAGTTAACAGGTATTTGGAGACCTGAGAATTCCATCGTTAGGAAACAGCTAAAGTTTAAGTATCAAAATAGGAGTACCTTTTAATGTATATTATTCATTGAAAGAGTATTTTATTTGGGAACACCTTGGTGGGAAAATTCCTTGCTATGTTTTGTCTAATCAATTAACTCCAGGCAGAATTAGTCATTTAGGATTAAGTAGTGCTGGAGGGAGAAAACTTTTTCCTTTTCTTTTTTTTTTTTTCTCTCTTTTTAGGTTCTAAGTTGAGATACCCTCCTGAAAACAAAATTCAAATTAACAAAAGAAAAAACAGCAGAAGTTTATTAACATGCACTATACCCATCACAAGGGAGAGGCCTCAGTACAAAAGTATTTCTCTCTCAAGACAGTGGCTTAGGGGCCTTGTTTAAATAGTGTTTTAACAAAAAGCCATACATTCTATGTGACAAGACAAAAGAGAGAGCTGTTTTCAGTCTTTTAAGGGGTGGGAAAATAGTAAATCTGTTCCCAGTTTCCTCCAGTGCCGGCTGGTGCCTTCTCTGCACTGATAAGCAAGTTCTGTCTCTAGGAAGAAAGGATTTATGTGCTACCATAAGGCAAATAGAGGCTGAGGCAGAGTATTCCCTTGTGTGTTCACTGTCTTAACAATCCCCAATACTTTGGGAATAAGTATTTTGTTTTCCTTCAAGTGGTTTCTTCTTTCATGAACTAAACAGCATTCTTTGGTAAAGAATTTTCATAAAGATTGGATACTTGTTCCAAGTGTGTTTTGTTTTTGTCATAATTGCTATTGTTGATTTACTTTTTTGAACAAGAAATCTTCCTGAATGTTTTCAGCTTTGTCAATATCTCAAGTAAACATCTTTGTAGTTTGAACCCACTCAAATATAAGCAATCTTCATCTTGGAAATAATAGTCATTTTCCAAAGAGAAAATATGTCAGAGATTTTTAAAGTTAAAATAATAAATATAAGTTAAAAACACACAGAATCAGGCATGTGAAACTACACGCACAAAATCATAGAGATTAGAATGCAGGAACAGTGAAGAAACCAATTTGAGCAGAGGTTGTGTGCTATAGAACAGTTACATATAGGGCTGTAAAGATAATGTATGGAAATGGAATCATATTGGAGTTGTATGTTTCAGCCAATGGAATATTTGAACACTGGACATTCTGAGCAGGAAAGGCACAGGATAACTCATAAAAAGATGAGTTAGTGAAGGAAGAGAGAATGCAGATTTCCTGAGGGCAGATGCTGCATCTTACTTATCTTTTTATCTCTATAGCACAGTATAGTGCCAAGAATGCAATATGTTTTAAGAAATAGTGAATGACGTGCAGGAAAGAGATGGGAGCCAGTTGAATAAACTAAATATTGGTTGAAATGGCCTAATCCAAAATCAGAGTAGTATTTAGAATCTCAAGACAAAGTATCAGAAAAATAAGGAATCAAAAATGACATTGAGTTTTTAACCTAAAAAAGCACTGAAAGAAACAGGAATGTCAAAAAATTAGCTAGTTTGGGAAAAAGTACTTTAGAAGTTTCAAATTTGATAATGGAAATAAATCCAAGAAAAGCCATAATCAGCAGGAAATACAGAAGAGAATCCCTAATGAGAGGGGTCAGTCATGAAAATATGGATGTGGAGCTCGTCTTCCTAGAAGTCACAACTAAAATCCGGGACAACATGGATTGGTTCTTGATAGCTTCTTTCTTCTCTATAGCTCTGCTCTACAATATGGTAGCCATTAACCACATGTGGCTTTTGGGCACTTGAAATATGACCAGTCCAAATTGAGATGGATGGCAGGTATAAATTACAAACTAATTTATACTATACCTTAGTATGAAAACAAAGAATGTAAAAGAGCTCATTAATAATGTTTCTACTGATTACATGTTAAAATGATATTTTAGCTATATTTGGATAAATAAGATATATTATTACAATTGATTTTACTTATTTATTCTTCTTTAATATGGCTACTAGAATATTTAAAATTGTATTTTTGGCTCATATCCTATTTCTTTTGGACAGTACTTCTCTAGAAGGTCAAAGATTTTATCCTCATGATGGAAAATTAGGTTAAAAGCTTTGTCTAGATTTGATAGTCCTGATGCACATAGATTTTGTCTTTTTTAACCCTGTAATCTCTGATGCTGCAAGGCATGAGGGCTATATCTTTACTTCTACTTCCAGACAAATTTTTGTCTTTTTTGATTCATATTCGCCTTTGTTAAAACCGGCAGTGGCCGTAAGCAAATTATAAGTTGTTGGACTTTCCCCTTAGGGGGCAGTATGTTTACAATCATACTTATATCGAATTATATATAGTCAATAGCAGTATTCTCAATGTGTGTTGCTCCTATTGGCGTCATCAAAATCATCTGAGAGCATTTTAGAAATGTAAATTTTCAAGCCTCAACACAGACCTACTGAATTCAGAATAACACTGTAATCTCTGTCCCTAACATAATGCCTAAGAGATGATTAGTGAACAGATTCTGGTTGGTTAAGTTTTTGAATTACCAAAACTTTACATATAATCAGTAGTAGTGTTCTCAATGTGTGGTGTTCCTATTGGCATTATCAGAATCTTCTGAGAACATGTTAGAAATGTAAGTTTTCAAGCCTGAACACAGACCTACTGAATGAGAAATTGAGATTGCAGAGCAGCAATATCTGTTTTAACAAGCTCTCCAGTGATTCTAATTCTCTCTCAAGTCTGAGAACCATTGGACTAGAAAAAGTAAGCAAATTGAAAATATTGGGATAATTTGTTGGTTATCCCTAAGAAAAAATTAAAAATATTCATTTCAGTGAGAGATACTCAGAGATAAATCAGTATTATAGGTGACATCCGAGCAACGAAAGGAGGAGTGGGGTTTCAGTAGAAGAAACCTGAGAATTTAAAGCCTAGATTTTTGCCTATTGAGTTCTTAAAAATAAATATAACTTTCACAAAGTAAAGTAGACTTGTGTAAAAGTTTAAAACAGAAATAAAATAAAAATAAGATTTTTTACATTTATTATAATGTATAAAATGTATAAAGTTGTAAAGTCTATTGTCAGCATCCTGTTAAATTAAGGAACACTGTTATATTATCCACACATTCCCCACTTTTTAATCAGAACTTATGGATCTATCCAGGTACATCAAGGCTTCAGTTCACCCAGTGACTATCTTCATCATGCTTTTATCAAATCCTTACTATTCCACAGAAAGACTCAATCTTCAGAAAAATATTTTACTGGTGTATTGATGGATATACCCAAAGACAATTTCATATTTATCTATGACCTTCACTTCTTAAATAAGCTTTTGCTCTCTGCCATTGTGGATATTTTTTTTCTTTTTCCCATGATTATTATAAACCATTGTATATACTTGATTAAACAGTCTATTTTAATTTTATCACTATCTCTGAAGAAAAAAACACCCTTATTCCCACCTCTTTATCCTTGGTTTTACATAAAATACAAAATAAAACTATTTAGAACTATAGTTAACTTGTAGATTTACCCAAAAAAAGACTTCTTATATTAAAATTTGTGTTTTGACCATCATTAGTTATATCTCCAGCCCACCTTGCTTAAAATTCGGAATAACACTGTTTACTGCCTAATAGAAATGAAAATTAATTTATTTTTCTTATTATGAATATTAAGCTGTATTAGATTATTGAATATAATACTTAAAACCAATGATTGTAAACATACTTAGGGGAAAGTCCAACAATTTATAATTAACTTATGGCCACTGCTGGTTTTAATAAGAGTGAATATGAATCAAGACAGAAATAAATTTGTCTGAAAATAGAAGTCTCATGCCTTGCAACTTTAGGCAGTCAATAAATATGTCTTGAAAGGATAAATTCCAAAATTAAAATTTACAAAATAAAGATGAATTCACAATAAACTTCTCATTAGATCTGCCTTGAGGCAAATATTACTCTCTTATAGCATGTAAGAGAGAGGATTTTATTTTATATAACTTAATTTTATTTTTCAATGTTATTTGTATACATAGTATGAGGAATAAAATATTTACCTCACATGCATAATGAAAGACAGGAATCCCATGCACTCTACCATTCACTCTTTCTCACCCACATTTCCCATTGGCCAGCATAGTCAAACCTTTCACCAATCTGTTTGTGTATTATTCCGTCTCTCCATGGAAAATAATATTCTTTTTCTTTTCTTTTTTTTTTTTTTTTGAGACGGAGTCTTGTTTTGTCTCCCAGGCTGGAGTGCAGTGGCGCGATCTCAGCTCACTGCAAGCTCCGCCTCCCGGGTTCACGCCATTCTCCTGCCTCAGCCTCCCGAGTAGCTGGGACTACAGGCGCCCGCCACCAAGCCCGGCTAATTTTTTTGTATTTTTAGTAGAGATGGGGTTTCACTGTGTTAGCCAGGATGGTCTCGATCTCCTGACCTCGTGATCCACCCGCCTTGGCCTCCCAAAGTGCTGGTATTACAGGCGTAAGCCACCGTGTCCGGCTGGAAAATAATATTCTTATATTATTATTTTCTTCATTTACCAGTTTAGGGGTTATCTATTTCCACTAGAAAAGATAAGAATTTAGCTTTCTTTAAGGACCCTCGTCTCTTCTCACACAGCATTTATATAAACACCTTCTACTTTTCTATCATCCTAATATAGTTAAATAAAACATTTGGTTAAACCAATACTCAGTGTGTATATTATTAATATTATTTAAACTATTTTCATAACAAAGCATATAATAATCCACAGTCATTTTCCTACATAATTTTTGTATTTATAGATTAATAATTGCTTCATTTTGTCTTTGTTTTTAATCACTAATTCAATCTGCAACCCTCCCCCAGTTGTATAAATCTCCATCCAATATTTCTATAGATTAAGTATTCTTTTTTTTATCTTTTTGAGGAAATATCTCCTACCCATTTTTATTTGACCCAATTTAAATAAATTGATCTGTAGGTTTATTTCACAGGTATTATTTGACATTACTTCTTCACTATCATTTTGCAGAGTCCCATTACCTCTCTTAGATTAAAGCCATGATTTCTTGAATATCAGAATACTCCCTTTTCTTAGATTACTCCCTTATTTTAGTGAAGTATATTTTCTTATAATTTTCTTTAAAATGATGCATGGGAGATACATCTTTGAAACCAAGAATGTTCAGAAGTTATCTTTATTCTAGATTCACATGTATTCATAATTTTGCTGGGCATATAATTCTAAGTAGAAAATAATTTCTCCTCAGATTTTTGAAGGCATTTTTCTGTTCTTTTCAAGTTTAAATTATTTCTGTTAAGAACTCTAGTAGTCTCCTAATTCTCAGTTTGTTTGTATGAAATTATGTGATATCTTTTCTTCTTATTTTATAGAATGTTCTTATTGTTCCCAGTAATAAAATATGCCACAGTGATGTGTTGTGGTGAGTCCACTTCTTTCTTTCTCCTAGACCCTCGTGAGTACTAATAATTTGAAAATTGCTGACCTGAAGATTTGGAAATTTTCTTATAATTTTAAAATATTTTTCTCCTCTCTCTTCTCTTAAACTGCTGGAATTTTTAAAATTTAGATATGGAGAGAGTAACAAAGCAAGATGGTGGAATAGGAGATTTCACCAATTGCCCCTTCTACAAGGACACCAATTTAACAACTATCTACAAAAAAAAAAAAAAAAAAAAAAAACAAAGAGAAAAAAGTATTTAGAACCAAAAATCAGGTGAGCACTCATAGTACTCGGCTATAAGTTCGTATGATTGAAAAAGGCACTGAAGAAGTAGGACAAACAGTTTTGAATTGCCAATGCCATCCCTTTTTCATCCTCCAACAGTGGCCATGTGGCACAGAGAGATAATCTGTGCACTTGGGAGAGGGAGAATACTGTAATTGTGACATAGTGCATTGAATTTAGTACTTAGTGCTGCCTTGTTACAGAAGAAAGCAAAACTGGAACAAACTCAGCTGATGCCTGCCCATGGAGAGAGCATTTAAGCCAGTACTAGCAAGAAGGGAATCATCCATCCCAGCAGTCAGAATTTGAGTTCTGACAAGCCTCACCACCTTGGGCTGGAGTGCTCTGTGAAAGTGCTGAATAAACTGAAAGGCAGTCTAGGGCCACAACGACTGCATCTCCTAGGCAATTCCTAGGGCTGAACTGGGCTTAGAGCCAGTGGATTGTGTGGGGGATGGGGAGGAGCGGGCATGTGAGCTACTGAAACACCAACCAGGATGGCTGAGGAAGTGCTGGTGCCACCCCTCCATTAATCCCGGGCTGCATATCTTGCAGCTCCAAAGAAGACACCTTTTTTTTCCCACTTGATAGGAGAGTGAAGAGTGGAGAGGACTTTGTCTTGCATCTTGGATACCAGCTCAGCCATAGCAGGGTAAAGCACGCACTTGCTGCTCAATATATCCCCGTGTGGCAGAGCTGATAGCTATGGTGCAAGACAAAGTCCCCTATTCTTTTCCCTCTGCTTTTCTCAAGTAGAAGGAGTCTGTCTCCATAGCCACCACTGCTGGGAATGTACTGAGTTTCACCTGAAGCCAACAAGTTTCAGAGTCTCACCCAAAACCTGTGATACTTACCTATCACTGCTGGTTATTCAGGGTCAATAACACAAAAAGCTGGTTTTTTGAACAAACAACCCCATCATGAAGTGGGCGAAGGATATGAACAGACGCTTCTCAAAAGAAGACATTTATGAAGCCAACAGACACATGAAAAAATGCTCATCATCACTGGCCATTAGAGAAATGCAAATCAAAACCACAATGAGATAACCATCTCACACCAGTTAGAATGGTGATCATTAAAAAGTCAGGAAACAACAGGTGCTGGAGAGGATGTGGAGAAATAGGAACACTTTTACATTGTTGGTGGGACTGTAAACTAGTTCAGCCATCGTGGAAGACAGTGTGGCGATTCCTCAAGGATCTAGAACTAGAAATACCATTTGACCCAGCCATTCCATTACTGGATATATACCCAAAGGATTATAAATCATGCTGCTATAAAGACACATGCACACGTATGTTTATTGCGGCACTATTCACAATAGCAAAGACTTGGAACCAACCCAAATGTCCATCAATGATAGACTAGATTAAGAAAATGTGGCACATATACACCATGGAATACTATGCAGCCATAAAAAAGGATGAGTTCATGTCCTTTGTAGGGACATGGGTGAAGTTGGAAACCATCATTCTCAGCAAACTATCGCAAGGACAGAGAACCAAACACTGCGTGTTCTCACTCATAAGTGGGAATTGAACAATGAGAACACTTGGACACAGGAAGGGGAACATCACACACTGGGGCCTGTCATGGGGAGGGGGGAAGGGAGAGGGATAGCATTAGGAGATATACCTAATGTAAATGACGAGCTGCATGTATACATATGTAACAAACCTGTACGTTGTGCACATGTACCCTAGAACTTAAACTATAATAATAATAAAAAAGCTGGTTTTTTGAAAAGTTAAACAAAATTGAGAAAGCTAACTAACAAAAAAGAGAATACCCAAATAAATAAAATCAGAGATGAAAAATGAGTCTTTACAACTGATACTGTAGAAACTCAGAAGATCATTAGTGGATACTATGAGGAATTATACAGGCCAAAGAATTAGAAAATCTAGAAGAAATGAACAAATTCCTAGACACATACAACCTATCAACATTGAACCATGAAGAAATCCAAAGCCTGAGCAGACCAATAACAAGTAACAAGATTGAAGCTGTAATAAAATGTCTTCCAGTCAAGGAAAGCTGTGATTCCATGGCTTCACTGCTAAGTTCTACCAAACATTTAAAGAAGAATTAATCCCAATCCTATGCAAACTATCTCAAAAAATAGAGGAGGATGGCATACTTTCAAGCTCATTCTTCTATGAGGCCTGTATTACCCTGGTACCAAAACCAGTCAAAAACATATCAAAAAAGGGAAACTACAGGCCAATATCACTGATGAATATGGATCCAAAAATTCTCAACAAAATACTAGCAAACAAATTCAACAACATATTAAAAGTTTGATTCATCATGATGAAGTGACATTTATCTCAGGGGTGCAAGAATGGTTAAACATATGCAAATCAGTCAATGTGATAAATCATATCAACAGAATGAAGGACAAAAACCATATGATCATTTCAATTGATTCAACATCCCCCCATGATAAAAAAAAACAAAACCTAAGAAAACTAGGTATAGAAGTAACATACCTCAACATAATAAAAGCCATATATTACAGGTCCACAGCTCATATACTAAATGGGGAAAAAAACTGAAAGTCTTTTCTCTAAGATCTGGAACACAGCAAGGATGCCCACTGGTCATCACTGTTATTCAACATATTACCGGAAGCTCTAGCTAAAGCAATCATACAGGTGAAAGAAATAAAGGGAATCCAAATTGGAAAAGAAGAAGTTAAATTATTTATATTTCCGTTTACAGATAATACAATTTTTTTTTTAGACAGAGTCCCACTCTGTCACCCAGGCTGGAGTGCAGTGGCATGATCTCAGCTCACTGTAACCTCCACCTCCTGGGCTCAAGTCGTCCTCCCACCTCAGGCTCCCATGTAGCTGGGACTACTGGCACATGCCACCATACCCAGCTAATTTTTCTATTTATTTTGTAGAGATGGGGTTTCATCATGTTGCCCAGGCTGGTCTCAAACTTCTGGGCTCAAGTGATCCACCTGCCTTGGCCTCCCAAAGTGCTGGGATTCCAGGCATGAGCCACTATGTCTGGCCAATCAGTAGTACTTCTATATGTCAACAGTGAACAATCTGAAAAAAATCAAGAAAATAATCCCATTTACAATAGCTACCAATAAAATAAAATATTTAGGACTTAACCAAAGAAATGAAGTTTTTCTACAATGAAAACTATACAACATTGATGCAAGAAACTGAAGAGGACACAAAAAAATGAAAAGATAACCCATATTCATGGTTTCAAAAAATAATATTGTTAAAATATCCATACTTCTCAAAGGAATCTACAGATTGAATGCAATTTTTATCAAAATAGCAATGACATTCTTCACAGAAGTAGAAAAAACATTCCTAAAATTTACATGGAACCACAAAAGACCCAGAATATCCAAAACTGTTCTAAGGAAAAAGAACAAAACTGGAGAGATCACATTGCCTGACTTCAAATTATATTATAGAATTATAGGAACCAAAACAACATGGTACTGACACAAAATCAAACACACACACCAGTGGAACAGAATAAAGAACCTGGAAATAAATCCTTACATCTATGGTGAACTCATTTTTGATAAAAGTTCTAAGAACATACATTGGAAAAGGACAGCCACTTCAATAAATGGTACTAGGAAAACTGGATATCCATATGTGGAAGAATGAAACTTGAAATCTATCTCTTATCATATAAAAAAATCAAAATGGATTAAAGACTTAAATCTAAGACCTCAAACTATAAAACTACTAAAAGAAAACTGTGACAAAACTTTCTAGGACATCGGACTGGGCAATAATTTCTTGAGTAATACTCAACAGAAATAGGCAACCAAAGCAAAAATAGATGAATGAGATCACATCAAGTTAAACAGTTTCTTCACAGTTAAGGAAACAATCAACAAAGTGAAGAAATAACCACAGAATGGGAGAAAATATTTTCAAACTATCCATCTGACAAGGGATTAATAACCAGAATATATGTGTAGCTCAAACAACTCTATAGAAAAAAATCTAATAATCTGATTTAAAAATGGGCAGAAGATTTGAATAAACATTTCTCAATGGATGACATGCAGATGTCAAACAGGTATATGAAAAGTTGCTCAAAGTCATTGATAATCAGAGAAATGAAAGTCAAAACTACAATGAGATACCATCTCACTGCAGTTAAAATGGCTTATATCCAAAAGACAGGCAATAAAAAATGCTGTCAATAACATGGAGAAAAAGGAACCCTCATATACTGTTGGTGGGAATAAAAGTTAGTGCAACCACTATGGAGAACACTTTGTGAGTTCCTCAAGAAACTAAAAATAGAGGTATCCTATGATCCAGCAATCTCACTGCGGGATATATACCCAAAAGAAAGGAAGTCAGTTTGGAACCAACCCAAATGTCCATCGGTGATAGCCTGGGTTAAGAAAATGTGGCACATATACACCATGGAATACTATGCAGCCATAAAAAGGATGAGTTCATGTCCTTTGTAGGGACATGGATGAAGCTAGAAACCATCATTCTCAGCAAACTATCACAAGGACAGAAAACCAAACACCGCATGTTCTCACTCACAGGTGGGAACTGAACAATAAGAATACTTGGACACAGGGTGGGGAACATCACGCACTGGGGCCTGTCGTGGGGTGGGGGCAGGGGGGAGGGGTAGCATTAGGAGATATACCTAATGTAAATGAGTTAATGGGTACAGCACACCAACATGGCACATGTATACATATGTAACAACCCTGCATATTGTGCACATGTACTCTAGACTTAAAGTATAATTTAAAAAAAATAAAAAAAAATAGAAAAGAAGTCAGTATACCAAAGAGATATCTACACTCCTGTGTTTGTTGCATCACTGTACACAGAAGCCAAAATTTGGAAGCAACCTAACTATCCATCAAAGGATGAATGGATAAAGAAAATATGGTACTTATACACAATGGAGTACTATTCAGCCATAAAAAGAATGAGATCCTGTCATTTACAACAAAATGGATGGAACTAGAGGTCATTATGTTAAGTGAAATAAGCCAAGCACAGAAAGACAAACATCACGTGTTCTCACTTATCTGTGGGAGCTAAAAATTAAAATGGTTGGAACTCTTAGCAACAGAGAATAGAAGGATGGTTCAGCCCCTGGAAGGGTAGTCAGTGGGTGAAGTCTGGGAGAGGGGAGTGGAAATGGTTAATGGGTACAAACAATAGTCAGAAAGAATAAATAAGACCTACTATTTGATAGCACAGTGGGAGGATTCTAGTAAAAATAATTATTTTAAAATAACTAAAAGAGTATAACTGAATTGTTTTAAACACAAAGAATAAATGCTTGAGGTGATGGATATTCCATTTACCCAGATGTGATTATTATGCATTGCATGCCTGTATCAAAACATTTCATGTAATCACTAAATATATACATGCATTATGTACCAACAATTTTTTAAATTAGATATTGGAGCACTGGGCTAGTCCTTTCATTGTCTTGCCCTTTCTCTCCAATTTTTTTTTTTTTAATTCTTGGGTCTTATGTTCTATGGTCCAAGATTTATAATAAACTTTTCTGTTTCAATTTTCTTCCTTTCACTATTGCATTTTTTTTGCAGTTCAATTTTTTGTTCACTTCTTGTTCTTTATTTTATATAGCATCTTATTCTTCATTTATGGCTAGAATAAGTTACTTTGTCTTTTCAAATAATAATTATAGTTCTTTAAGAAGTTTTATTCTCTCTGCGTATTCTTTGTTTCTTAAACTGTCTTTTCTCTGTTTGCTATCTTGGTTTCTACCTCTCACAAGATAAGCTTTTCTCTCAAATTCCAATCATTGGATGGATGGCCCTTATGAGATATTTAAGAGTATTCCAGTATAAAACTGATTGAAAAATTTAGGGCCTTTGTGTGTGCTTTAGCACCATAAGCTTCACTTTAGAATGACCTGACTTCCATTTAATTTGGGGAAACCATGTTTTGAATTAGATACTTTATTTTACTCTGATCAGGTTCCCCAAAAAACACTTTTCCAATATTCTTCTTGAAAGCTTATAATTCTAAATGCCAGGGCTTGGGAAGCTGATAGAATAGGTCTAAGAGGTCTCATATGAACTTTCACCATGTTTTTGACATGGTATGTTTACTACTAACTATACGTGATGTCTTTCAAAGCAGAATCTTTATATTTATTCTCTCCAAAGGAAAACTTTTTAACCTGTAAGTAAGTGGTTATAGTATAGATATTTGGAGTTCTCCCACAAGTTTTGTGGTTTATTTATTTGATTTAGTAAAATCTACTTGCCAAAAGCCACATCCATAGCTTTTGCTAGACGTAGCTTATTAGACTTTTCCAGAGAAACAGAATTAACGTGGTGGGGCGGGGAGAAAAATTATTTTAAGAAACTGGTTCATATGATTGGGGAGGCTGGGTAAGCCCAAAATCTGCAGAGTAGTACAGCAAGCTGGAGACCCAAGAAAGAAGTACAATTCAAGTCCACAGGCGGTCGGCCAGCAGAATTCTTTCTTGCTCAGAGGAGGTCAGTCTTTGTTCTATGATGCCCTCAAATGATCTGATGAGACCCACTCATGTTATGGAGTGTAATTTGTTTTACTCGAAGTCCACAGGCATAAATGTTACTCTCATTTTTAAAAAAAAACCCTCACAGAAACATTCAGAATGATAATTGACTAAATATTTTGATCCCATGGTTCACCCAAGTTGACACATAAAATTAATCTTTATATATACCTACCTCTTTTGACTTATTTACAGGTACTTTGACCACATCAGCCTTCTCTGGGGCCATAACCTTAACCATTTTAGCCTTTTGGCCTAGCTTAAAAAATTAACTAGATATGACCTAAATATTTTTAGCAATCTTAGCAAACCTGCTACAACCACAGCCTTGATTTGGTATTTACCCTAAGGTCTTACTGGTAGCATCCTGGACTTGGTCTTTTTTTCTAGGACTCTGTTCTAATGGGTGGAGTGCAGTACATCCTTGATTTTGTAAGAAATAGCTCATATGTTCTAATCATGCAAGTTGGAAATTTGGGGCTGCCTATATTCCTTCTTTTT
Organism: Homo sapiens; assembly: GCF_000001405.40. NCBI lineage: Eukaryota > Metazoa > Chordata > Mammalia > Primates > Hominidae > Homo > Homo sapiens. The sequence continues at coordinate 84,413,284 of NC_000005.10, read as the reverse complement.
TGTTTGTTTGTTTGTTTGTTTGTTTGTTTTTAGATGGAGTCTTGCTCTGTTTCCAGGCTGAAATGCAGTGGTGTGATCTCCGCTGACTGCAACCTCCGCCTCCCAGGCTGAAGCGTTTCTCCTGCCTCAGCCTCCCAAGTACCTGGGACTACAGGTGTACGCCACCATGCCCAGCTAATTTTTGCATTTTTTAGTAGAGACAGGGTTTCACCATGTTAGCCAGGATGGTCTCGATCTCTTGACCTCGTGATCCGCCTGCCTCGGCCTCCCGAAGTGCTGGGATTACAGGCGTGAGCTACCACACCCGGCCATTCCTTCTTAATTCTGTTTGCAAAGTGACCTTTCTTTTTCTGATTTTGTCTCTTTTTTGTAATACCATAATTAACAATAACCAGCTCATACTTTCAACATTTTGACTTGAAATATCTTCATATTGCTCTAAAATTCATTAGGTATATTTTCTGTCTTTCTATCACGAAAGCGATGGAATGTACACCATTACATACAGTTTACCATCTTTCCAGCACCTATAACAGTTTCCTTAAAAATTTTCCAGGTTCCTGTAACTATTTTCTCACTGACCACCCATCCCCAAATACTTTTGTGGTATCACATCAGTGCTAATTTTGTGGTACTAACTATTTCTGTGCATTTTATAACATTTCATACTTTTGCTATAACAAATTACTGTTAACTGAATGTCTTAAAACAACACAAATGTATTGTCTTGTAACTCTAAAGGTCAGAAGTTTAAAATAAGTATCACTGGGCTAAAATCAGGTGTTATTAGGGCTCAATTCCTTCTGGAAGCTCCTGAGGATAATCCGTTTCCTTCTCCCAGAGACTGCCCACCCTCCTTGGCTCATGACTGCCTTTCTACACATTAAAATCCAGCAACAGCAGGCTGACTCTTTCTCAAGCTGCCATCTCGATGGTTCTCGATAATCAAATCTTTTTTTTTTTTCTTTAAGTGCCCTTGTGATTATATTGGGCCCAGCTGGAAAATCCAGATTAATCTCCCTATTTTAAGGTTAAATGATTAGTAATCTTAATTCCATCTACAAGCCTTAATTCCCATTTGCTATGTCATGTAACATTCACAGGTTCCAGGGATATGGAAATGAACCTCTTTGGTGGGCCATATGCTGCCTACCACACTGTGTCATAAGCAATTGCAAAATCTCACTGGTTTAAAACAACACACATTTATTTCTAGCTCCCACATATGCCAACTGGCTGGGGTTCAGCTAATGTAGGCTGGGTTTGTTGATCTTAGGTCTAAGCCTCAGGTCAAGTTGAGACATGCTTTACAAGCTTCTCATCTTCCTTGGGCTATAAGCGGTCCAAGACATGTTCTTATGGCAGAAGGTAGAAGCACAAGAGAGCAAGCCCAATCTTACAAACATTTTTCACACCATTACTTGCATCACATCCACTAACATCCTACTAACGAAAGAAAGTTGTGGATGGGCACAGTGGCTCACGCCTGTAATCCCAAATTTTACGAGGCCAACACAGGAAGACTGCTTGAGCCCAGGAGTTCCAGGCCCCCCTGGGTAACATAGTGAGAGCTCATCTCTACAAATACAAAAAATTAGCCAGGCATGGTGGTTCATGCCTGTAGTCGTGGCTACTTGGGAGGCTGAGGAGGGAGGATTAATTGAGTCTGGAAGATCTAGGCTGCAGTGAGCTGTGATGGTGCCACTGCACTAACAGCCTGGGTGATAAGGCAAGATCCCAGTTTCCTAACAGAAGGGAAGGAAGGAAGGAAGGAAGGAAGGAAGGAAGGAAGGAAGGAAGGAAGGAAGGGAGGGAGGGAGGGAGGGAGGGGGAGAGGGGAGGGAGGGACGGAGGGATTGTGTAGCCAAGCCCAGCATCGTTAGGATAGAAACATATACTCTCCCATGTAAATGTGGAGAAAAGGCATTGAATATTTACTAAAACAAACAAAACACTAACTTACCTTACTAAGCAGGGAATTACAGAAAATGGAAACAAACAGCTTAAAACTTCCCATTCACTTCACTTACATATATGAATGCTATTTAAATCCATAGTGTTGATTACATGCTTTAGCACAAATTTTATAATTCATCTCTTTTTACTCTCAGGTTAATTTCTTCGAGCAAATAATAAAGCTAAAAGCACTTTCGAAAAATAAGTTATTAAGCTCCCTACCAATTACTATATACATAAAACCATTTTAACTCTGAAAAAATATAAAATCCATAAGTAGGTTCATAACAAAAGTATAAGTAAGTGGTCAGACTCCTATGAAACTGCCTCATTTTTAGAAAGATTATAGAGTCGAGTTTACTTGTGAGGATAACTTCTTCTCAAATAAATACTGATATAGAAGTAAGATGCTTTTGTTCCTATAATACTTCAAAGTCAAGAGAAGATTATCCATGCTAAATACTCATTTTTGTAATTCATTTCACTGAAGACCATCATTTCACAGTACAATGATCTACTTTAAGCCATCTCTTAAGTCTTTAATCATTCTAACAGTTTTATTTCTGCATACAAAACACAAAGTGACTGTTAGAGAAAATAAGACTATCTAAAAGAAATAAACTTCTAAGCCAAAGGTTATCATTAGAATTTTCTCCCAAAAGATTGTGCCCTAACTAGACTTCTGAGTTGTGTTTTACATATTGAAAGTTAATAGTTTATGGTGTTCAGTAGGTCAGTATTTATTTGAACTGTTTACCAATCTTACTGTACAAGGATACAGAAAAATCCACAATCAATAGTGATTTCTGTCATCTTCACAGTATCTAAACAAGAATTTGTAACAGATTTTGAAAAAAATCACTTTGATGAGAAGTTTTATTGAGCGTATCCAATCTACAATCTAGGTAATAACTTGAAATTTTAAAATTTGATTGTTTTTTATTTTACTGTTATTAAAAAAGCACAAGTTTCTTTGCAATATTGTTTCTTCATTTTGAAACAATCTCAAACTTATAGAAGAGTTGCCAAGTACAGTACAAGGAACTTTCTTTTTCTGAAATATTTCAGTGTAAGCATGTTGTCCCCAGTACAGACAGCTTTATTACCTCGATTGAGCTTTGGTTCCCCCTATCAGGCTTCCCCTCCACAAGTAAACCTACCTTGCTCAGTCCATGTAATTACTGTAAGAATGAATTACCCAGGAAAAGAAGTAGAAGGAACAACCGTAATTATACTTCTGTATTTCTTCCACAGTCAGGTTGATTAAGGAGTACATGCTGTGTGATCAGGTATAGCATGATACTAAGGAATCTTAGAAAGCATTAATCCAGAAAATGGCAATTCAAAATGCCTTTGCTTTGCCTTATATATTTCAATACCCGATGCTGAAATTTCCTATATAAAAATGTTATATCTAACAAAAAACAAAATTAATCACATAACAGCAGACTCAATCACATTTGGCTGCTGTATATTTTTATTTTACTAAAATATGTAATAACATAAATATTTTAGATATTTGGCAATAAAATAAACTGATAAAGTCTACACAATAATCAAAGACTTTTTTTTTTTCTTTTTGAGATGGAGTTTTGCTCTTTGTTGCCCAGGCTGGAGTGCAATGGCGTGATCTCAGCTCACTGCAACCTCCGCCTCCCGGGTTCAAGCGATTCTCCTGCTTCAGCCTCCCGAGTGGCTAGGATTACAGGCATGTGCCACCAAGCCTGGCTGATTTTTTTGTATTTTTAGTAGAGATGGGTTTTCACCATGTTGGTCAGGCTGTTCTCAAACTCCTGACCTCCGGTGATCTGTTTGTCTTGGCCTCCCAAAATGCTGGGATTACAGGCATGAGCCACCACGCCCAGCCTTGAAGACATTTTGAATGCATATTTCAACTATCCTATGTCCAAATATTTGAAGATAATTTTTATATTTTTTGTTACAATTATCAATTATACTTAGTAATTTTCATTTTTACTACTATTATTCTTTTTGTTTATTTATTTTTAGTTTTTTAGCTTACAGGCTACTTTATTTTAAATAATAAAATGTAAAAGGTGGTAAGCCTCTAGCCAAAAATAAACACATGGGGAAAAAAAGAGAGCCTATTCTAAAATAAAAATATGTCTGTCTTTATTTCTGGAAAAAATGGTCTGTTTCTGTAACATCAGAGGCAAAGTTTAAGCATGCTATTAGTACTAAGTGCATTTTCTACAAGGAAACCACAAAGTACTTTTGAAAATCAATACACTCTGAAAAAAATATTTTAAAACTTATCCATTGGAGAAATCATTTCAAAGTCAAAGAACAGTGCAAGATAATGGGTTCCGTAAAGTTCTTCTTTCTCTCTGTTCAGTATGCCCCTGTGTTCTCTCATGCTGAAGACAAAGGAGTTAGGTACATGGACCATGCAAAGGAGGAATAAGAGCTCAGTAATCCTGAGACAGTGAGCATGGCCATGGAAAGTGCCACAGTAGTGGAAAAATATCTGGCTTCCCTTTAATCCGTTCCAGACTTTTTGCAAAGATTTTTCCACTGCAATGTAAGTGTTATACTTTACACACAATTTTCTACCATTTTTCTACTGATTCTCCTTTAATAATATAATTGTATGTCAGAATTTTGATAAACATAATGAGCACATGTACTTTGAAAATAATTTTTTCTTCAATGATTTTTATACAAAGGCAGTCATGTAATACATTCAACTTTGCCTAGGCAAACTGTGGGAGTCAACATTTTTCTTGTTATGCTATGGAAAAGACATAGGAGAGGACAGATCACATTAGTCCAGAATCATATAGCTACTAAGAATCTGAATTATAAAGATTCAGATTTACTACAGTCTTATAATCATTCATTCAACAGGACAACATTTATTGAAAAACTACCTTCTTCTACAGAACTGCAAAATGTTGGCCCCAAGGAACACAGTGATAAATGAGATTGCATCTGGACCTTAGAAATATTCAGTCTAATGGATGCTTCCATAGAGCAGCCTTCAAAATGTCTAGAAAATTGAAAGTGAAAGTCATTCTATCATGTTCTGTTAATATCCATGAGAAGAGAACACTTGAACACTTGCTTTAGAAAGAAGTAAATTGTAGGAGTCAATGTACCTGTAAAATATTGATTAAATATAAATAGTTTTCTATAATGCATGGAAAACAATAAATAGGAATCCACATTTGTTGTATTCAATCATCTAAGGACCTAAAATCTTCTAAAAGGGGGGTTATAAATTGTATTAGTATGGAGTTCTGTGCTTTAACCTAAGTCATTACAGTCCAGTTGTCAAAGAATTAGAGGATTAATTATGCTGTGATTGCAATCTTGACTCATTCTACACCTCTTCTCTTTCCTTAATTAAGGAGGTTTTGAACTATCTGTTTTAAAAGGATAATTGCCTTCACTCTTCAAATTTACTTTTTTTGTAGACATCCTGCACAGTTGTGTAAGATAATGGAATACTTCATTATATGTTTTATTCATTCAAGTATACCAACTAAATATATACGTTCAACAAGTCATAAAACTGTTCACATTCCATTTTGCTGATGGATAGCCTCTTTTTCACTTTTGCTATTGTGCATCTCAGTAGAGTTATATGTTTATGGTGTCATTCTAAAAATCAATAAATTCTGCATTTATTTTCAATGACTACAACTTCTTGTGCCCTATTATATGATCTAGTAAAATAAGGAAATGATCTAGTAAAATAAGGAAAATCAGTCATCTAATGCGATACAACTAACCACTCAAAGTTTTGGTGCCTTAAATCAATGATAATTTACTATTTCAACCAAATCTGTGGGTTGGTTGAGTAACTCCTCTTTTGGTTTTGCCTGGGCTCACCATGGGACTCCACTCAGCTGAAGGGGGCCTGGGCTGGATGGCCCATATGCCTAGAAATTAGTACAACTTCTCAGCTGGGGAATTTTGATTTTCCTGTCAACCTCACATAGGCCTGATTGAACTCCATTCCAACATGGTAGCCTTGAGGTTCTAAGATGTAGAGAGGAGAAGCTCCAAGGCTTCTTGTGCTAAACTCCAGAAATAACCCAACATCACATCTGTCACATTCTGTTCACTAAAGGAAGAAATCAAGATCATCCCAGGTACAAGAAGGTGAATAAATAGAATTCACTCCATTATGGCTGTATCAGCAAGGTCACATTGCAGAGTCATTAACCCAGGAAGGTCTTCTTCATTGTTGAATATTTTTAAAATTTTCTACTACAATATATAATAACTATATATTACCAGGTGTGAAAATATCTTTTGTGAGCATAAAGGCCATGAATTCATATGATTTGAATACATATTTAGGTCAAGTTAAACAATTGTTTTAATGCACACATTTCAAACTAAAATGGTTTTCAAGCCCAGAGATTGCATTATCAGTTAAAACATTGGTATCCAGTTATTTATCTTTTGGAAAAAGCTGGTATAAAATTAAGTCAGGGGACCCAATGAAGGAAAGCTCTATGAGGTCAGGAAGCTGGCTGTTTTGTTGTTGTCATTCATTTTTGTTATCTTTTAAAAAAATCACCGTATCCTCAGCACCAAGACACCAGACACATAGGATGAATTGAATTGACATAATAAGTACAGGAAGCTTTTTTGTTGTTTTGTTGTGACACATATAGTATATATTGATTTGGTATAATAAATATAGTAGACTTTTTTGTTTATTGTAAGATTTTCAGTTGTTTTGCTTTGGTTTATTTTTGTTTGTTGTTTGTTAGCTTGAAATTTCATCTGAAGGTTGAACATACTTGTTATAAAAATGAGGACACTGAACCCCAGAGAACTTATATTAATCATCCAGGTTTAAACATTTCAAGCACTACAACAATTTGATCTAAGCTCTCAGTATGTTATCTTACAGGGAAGTTATGTGTCCTGAATTTCCTTTCAAAATCCACTCCTGACTTCACTCCTCTTCATGTAATAATAATATGTTTTATAAGCAATATATGCAAATATTTTAATAAATATCAATTTAAATATTATTGTTTTTATTATTTTACTATTTTAAACCATTATTTTAATTGACAGAATTTTTCTGGAAATAATACAGTTAATTAAATAAGTATGCATCACAATTCTGTTTTATTACATTTTCCTTCTCTAAATCCTGTCATTATCTATGGAGCATTTCTTATATTTATTCAGTATCCAACTGCAAAATACACGTGCATGCATATATGTGCTCAACACAGAAAGATAAACATAAAGACTTGCATTGGATTTATTGGGCTTGCCACTAATTTAAGAAATTAGTTAAAGCTAATCTAATTAGCTAAAACTAAGAAATTAACAAACCTAAGAAATTAGTTAAAATATTATAATTGCTTTAATTGATTTAATTTTAAAATGTAATGGTTATTTTAATTTTAACACAATATCAGGTTAATGTCTACAAAAATCATGGTTTTAAAGATCATTGCACAGTCAAACTTAAAGCTATTTATTTTCTTGTACTAAATCAATAGCTGATTTTTGAAATACACGTTAAACAGTATTATATTTTAACATTGCAAATTACTTTTAATATCATAGTAAAGAGGATTTCAAAGTTCTTGTAATCTAAGAATCACTTTTAATACTATATTTTGTCATTTTTCCCTAAAATAAATTGAATAAGGAAATTTTTCATATTTTAGGGAAATGATGGAGCAGGTTTAAATATACCAATCTTTTCATGAAGAGCTGCGTGCCAAAGAATTCACCATTTCCTTGGCAGCGTTAAAAAGTTCTGAATATTTAAGTGTTCTTCATTTTACAGGCTGAAATCTGTTTCCTGGTAGCTTCTACTCAGTATTTCCCATCTAAGCACTTCCTAGAATGATCTATTCACAATGGAACCCACAGCTTTTTTCATCCCATTAAGTACTTCCCTTTCTATGCTAAAAGGGTACTCTTGGTGCTAAGGGGTTATTCTGGTGGTTTTTGAAAACCCTGATGATGGAACCTCATTATGATTTATTGGACTGTTGAAAATGCCTTTTGCTTTCAGCATTGTACTTTTAAGGTCTCTCTGAGGTTGTGTTCCATTTCCTTGATTCTAATGGGATATACAACCCTGAGGTGGTGGTTGGAGCCTGAGAGATACTACCTAAGCTATATAATAAACTTTTACTGATCAAAATGAGATCTTAAAATAGTTTAATCTCAAGAAATAGTATAAATAAGTCTCCCCAGATATTAATAATGATTAATCGCCTCTATAAGTAGAATATTACTATTAATTTATGTGTAGTTTTAAATAACGACAGTGAAACATACATTGTAGATAAACCGTCTTGAAGCAAATAGAAATTAAGCTAATTTAAATGATTAGGAAACCTGGCCGGGCATGGTGGCTTACACCTGTAAATCCCAGCACTTTGGAAGGCCGAGGTGGGCAGATCACTTGAGGTCAGGAGTTCAAGACCAGCCTGGCCAACATGGTGAAACCTTATCTCTACCAAAAATGCAAAAATTAGCCAGGCATGGTAGTGAGTGCCTGTAGTCCCAGCTACTTGGGAGGCTGAGGCAACAGAATCACTTGAACTGGGGAGGCAGAGGTTGTGGTGAGCCATGATTGCACCACCACACTCCAGCCTGGGTGACAGAGCGAGATTCTGTCTCAGAAAAAAGAAAAAAGAAAAAAGAAAAAAGATTCTGAAGCCTAATAAAAGAAATGCCCACATACATTATCTTCTAGAGTGAAAAGATGAAATGCACACTCTGGAAATTTAGACAAAACATGGTTGAAAGAATGTCTATGTTATCTCCCTTCCCATTGTAATAAAAAGTCAGATTGTCTTAAATAAAATAAAAGAGGCGACTAAATACAGTAAATGGAGAATTAAGAATCAGTTTCTTGTATCCTAGACAAAATTTAAGGGCCATCTAAAAAAGAATGCTGAAGGCAATTAGCTTATTAGTATTCTTAAGCTGACAGGTTGATCAGTTTTAGTTCTGTGCAAGATTGTCTGGTAAGACTGGAAATTGGCCAATCTGCTTTAAACCTGGTATATATGAGGTTCTCTTCATACATGTAATCTCCAAAACATAAAGGTTTCACAATATTTTTATGGAGATATTATTTAAATATTTAAAACATGAGGAAAGTGAGGCTCAGAGAGCTTAACTAATGTGTCCAAAGTTACATAGTTAATAAACTGTGAGAAAAGTAGTTTACTTGACTCAAAGGCTGTATCTATTATTTGACAGCACAAGCCAAATCATTGTTTCTCCAGACCCACAGGGAGGAAAATCCAAGGAGTACTGAGCTCATCTGTGGTTGCTTTAGCAGTGTAGCTTAACAACAAAACCAAAGACTGTGAGTCAGGCAATCTGGTCTTGAATTTTCCCTCAATGAGCTGCAGAACTTCAGGTGAGTCATTTTGCATCATGGTTTCCAGCTTGTCATATTTATAAAATGTAAGATTAAAACTAGATGATCTTTAGGACATTCCAGATTTGACATTCTGTGATTCCCTCATGCACCTCTTTATGTTTTCCTTTTAAATCAAAAGTTATTTGGATTTAGATAGTTGTATTCATTTTGTATGTCAGTTATTATAAATATTTGGAAACATGGTAGATTTTATTCCACAAGATACTGGCAATATCTTCCAATAAACCTTTCAAAGTCTTATTTTGCTTTCTTCAAGTGCTATATTTCAAAATGAGTGATGTGTGTTCAAGGGTCTTTTGAGACTAGCACTGTAATTCTCTTCTCACTCGGAACTGCAAGGTTCTTTGGCTCATGTATATTCCGGACGCACTATAGCTATGCTCCATTTTATACTTTTTATGTAATTCAGTGGCTTGGTAATTGGGAAAAAAGCTGGCATTTAGTTAAAACTAACTATAATGTAAAATCTGAAAAAAAACAAGGGGAGAGTTGTACACATACAATGTATATGTAAATATATGTGTATTCACATACATACACAAGCCTACACACACAGGTCACTTTTTTTTTCTTTTTCTAACTGATGTGTCATATTTTGCATATATTTTAAAGAAATAAACCTAAATTACTCAAACTATGCTAACACCCATTTATTTTTTACGTCACTGAAATTGTCTTTTACTTTGAAATGGAAAATCAAGAAATTTTCATTTCCCTCTATTATTAATTTTAAAATTACAATTTTTTATTTCGCAAAATAGAAAATGTAACTAAGCAAAAACAAAAATTGCCTCTAGCCCCACAATATAGACATAATCAATTTTAAAATATCTTAGTAAACAACCTTCCAAACTTTCTCTAAGAATTCATACATGTAAATATGATCATATTACATATACTATTTTTTAACTTTTTTTTGTGCAATAGTTTATTTTATAAAAACTCATTATAATATTTGCTTGTAATCCCAGCACTTTGGGAGGCCAAGATGGTCAGATCTCCTGAGGACAGGAATTCAAGACCAGCATGGCCAACATGGTGAGACCCCATCTCTACTGAAAAAATACAAAAATTACCCAGGCATGGTGGTGCATGCCTGTAATTCCAGTTACTCTGGAGACTGAGGCAGGAGAATCGCTTGAACCTCGGAGGCAGAGGTTGCAGTGAGCCGAGATCATGCCGCTGCACTTGAGCCCAAGTGACAGAGCAAGACTCTGTCTCAAAACAAACAGACAAGCAAACAAAAAACTAATTATAATATTCAATGCTTCCAAAGTATTTCAGTATGCGGGTTATTCAATTAATTCTTTATTTTTCATCATTTAGTGGTTTTCCCATGTTGATATTAAGCATATGCAATAAACATATATATTCATTTTTGCTTGACCAATTTTTCCCTTATGATGAATTTCAAGATATGACTGTGGGTAATATGTTGAAACAGTTATAAAAGTGTTGATATTTACTGTTAAATTTGCCTACTGATTTCTTTTAACACTTTACCTGTGTGCTTATTCCCCAACACTCCACCTAACATTGAAATTCTCTTTTTTAAACAACATTTAGATATGTTGGCCACCTTGTTAACATTCTATTCATATGTTCATACAAAACATACAAGTATGTGAACTATAAGTGTTAAAGATGAAGCCCCACAATCCCCTAACTGATAGTTATGTTGCTTCATAACATCATGCCTCCTGCTTGTAGATCATCTACAAACCATTTTGTTTTTTAAATTTTCCTTTCAGAAGTGGCAAACCCCACTTTCAGTGTGCTTGTTTTGGTGGAGCTGGTTAAATCCCCTATTTCAGCGGTATATATTTGACTCAGGCTTTAGCCATTTAGTGCATTCTGTTTTCCCATCAACAGAGGTTGGCTCAGAGATAGTCATGCTCCTCGATTTGAAGCATTGAATTGGGCTTTTTTCAACTTGACTTTAAAAAGATATCATCTATATATACTAAAACCCAGAATGATAGGAGGCTGAAACTTCCATAGCCTTCTTTGCACCACAATGGGGCATGCTTGTCTGGCCAGAGCCAAAACAGGGGCAGAGAGAACCAAGAGATGGAGAAAAGTCACTGCTTGTACCAATCTTTGGTCCTCTGAATCCAGCCATCGCTGAATCATGAAAGATCTCCATGTTCAATCACATAAACAATAATTTCCCATTTAGTTTTTGGAAACAACAATTTCCCAATTGAGTTTTTGGCTACCTGCAATTAAAGAGACCAATGCTAAATAATATATTTTAAATCAATTATTGGCATTTCAATAGCTTAGGCTTCACCAAATAGTTTCAGTAACAGATTTATTTCTGAGTCTTTCAGAATTTGTTTTTTTCTTCTTATTTTTCTATATACAGTCTATACCTACAACCATATTATAGACACACATATTATGTTATTCACTGCCCTATCACCTCTCTTATCTATGGGCACTAAAACATTTATATTTTATTCCAGGTAAAAACCTGTAAACAAGTAACAAAATGAAAACAAAATCTTCAATGTTAATTGTTGAAACACTTCTTATTAAATTATCTTAATTCTCTTTAAATATTATAGTCCTTCCACTCCCACACAGACTATGAGCTTTTAAAGGGCAGGTTGTAATTCCTATAATTCTTTGCCTTTTCCTTAGAGTCTTGCCTTTAACAAAACAGGAACTCAATAAAAGATGTGCTGATGGATTGGAAACAAGAAGTAAATGACAAAGGAGCAACAAAAGAGGACCTTTTCGTAGTATAGCTGATGGCTGTAAGAGCCCACAAATCCATATTAAAGATAAGATAAATTGAACAGCAAAACTCTGCAGGCTACCTTGGATACAATATCCCAAAGATTAGTAAAATGATGTTTCTAAACAACCACACATAACATAAACCATACAACAGAGAGAGATAATCAGCACTATACTAGCCCAATTCTATTTGAGATGTTATTTTTTTCTCTATTAATTTCAAAAGTGTATTGCTTTTCTTTATCTTTGAAAACAAACAAAATTCTTTTTCTAGAAGCCTTAATGTATACTTTACATTAAAATAAAGAAATGAGTAATTCACACAAATAATTAGTGTAATATGGTATTTTCCATTTAAAAAAGAGTTCCATTTATACACTCGACACATACTTTAGGTCTTGTGGAGATGAAGCCTTTATTACAAGCACAGAGGGATTTTCACAATATAGCAGGCGAGCCTCAGATTATCATCTGCTTCATCACGATTTAGCTCAAAAAAGTAGAAAACCTGTGGACTTATCAAGACATACAGAAATGCTGTATGAGTGATGCTGGAGTCAAATAACTGGTATAAAAATGAGCCTTGAATTACAGGAGGTTTATAAGAATAAAAATGGGTTTCTATTATATGGAATCTTTATATTGTTTTGTGACATACATGCTGATCATCATATCCTTTATTGCCTTTTAAGTAAAATTGTTATATAATTTTATAGCATAAAAAAGATACACGTATAAAATTTTAAATGAAAAAAATTTAAAATTCAATCTTAAAATACTCATTGTAATATTCCTTAGAAATAATCTTTCCTAACATTTTGATTACAACTTTCTGTGAAATTATGTAAAAAACAAATATTACAATAAAAAATGGGCATGGAATGTAAATAGATAATTCAGGTTGGACACAATGGCTCATGCCTGTAATCCCAGCACTTTGGGAGGCCAGGGTGGGCAGAGAGCTTGAGCCCAGGAGTTCATGACGAGCCTGGGCAACATGGTGAAATCTCTTCTCTATTAAAAAAAAACACAAAAATTAGCCAGGTATGGTGGTGCATGCCAGTACTCCCAGCTACTCGGGAAGCTGAGGTGGGAAAATCACTTGAGCCTAGGAGGTTGAGGCTGCAGTGAGCCATGATGGCACCACTGCTCTCCAGCCTGGGAGGAGTGAAACTGTCTCAAAAAAAAAAAAAAAAATTCATTTAAGATGAAAGTTATTGTCAAAAAGCAAAAGAAAAAAAAGAAGGTGTAACCTCACTAGCAGTCAAGATAACACAGTTACAATAATGAGGTTTTTTTGACTATCAGGTTTGCATAATTCAAAAAACTTTGCTAATATTTAGTATTGGGGAAAACATGTACTGTGGTACACTACTTGTAAAAATTTAACTTGGTCCTAACTTTACAGAAAATCTAAGAATATCTAGTAGAATTTTATACGTGTCTGCTTTTTGCCCAGTAACCTCTCAACTAGGAAACATTACAGAAAAAGTTGCTGGAGTTTATACAGGTATACTTACTAGTCTGTTTGTTACAGCATTGTCTATGACAGGAAGATCATCAACAACAACAAAAAACTGCAGATGACCTAAAAAGCAATAAATAAGGGATTAGATGCTTATGTTTGTAGTTGTTATACGAAGGAATGTTGCATACTCATCTCAAATTACACCAAAAAATGTAATGAACCACGAATGTATCTATGATACATTGCTTAGTGTATAATGAGAAAGAGAGATGAGGATCAAGGTAGGAAGGGAGGGATAAACAAAAGTGGTAAGATATACATATTCATGTGCTATGCTCGGAGGCATTCAGGAACATTACCAAAAGTTATACTCTAATCTGCAAACAGTCATTAAAAACCAGTGGTAGATTATAGGTGATTTTATATGATATTTTAAAAAGCTAAGTTAAACATCAGCATTTGCCTAATATCTTAAAAATTATTTAAAACCATCATGTTATGAAGATTATAAAATAATTTCTATTGAATTGGTTATGATTATTTATCCTTTTTAATGTTGGACATTAGCCTATTTCCAATATTTGATGTAATAAATAACATGAGAAATAATTTATGTGATATAATCAATATTCTAGAATAATCACCCACGTAACTAAAATTTTAATCATACATGAAACTATTTCAAGCAGTCTCCTTAGTATAAATTCTTAGAAATTGGTTCACTAGGTCAAAGCTTATATTATTTTTATCCTTCTTGATATATATTGTCAAATTGTTTCTTAGAAAGGTGGAGGCAATCAATAGTCTCACTGGTGGTGTATGAGAGTCAGATATCACTGGGAAATATTCTTTCTGCTTTGAAGTTTACCTTTTAATTCATGATTTTCTGACATACAGAAGTTTTGTGTTCATTTTATGTAGACAGAGAAATTAGTCACTAACTTATCTTATTATTTTCATTTTTAAAATGTTCTTATCCAAATTAGCTTAAAATATTGACATAAGTTTTTCTATTTTGTGCTATTTGATAGTAAGGATAATAGGCTTGTTGATCAATTTTTAATTTATTTTAGTCAATTATTGAAATGAAAGTTCTTTTTATGTAAAAAATACAATTACTATAAGTATATATACTTTATTTAATTTGTAGATGTATTGAATTATACCTGCACATTAAAAATTGAGAAATTATAAGTTAAATTTTGGGTTTCAAAAAACAAATCTGACCACGCTGCTTCCATAATCCTACAAGACAACAATTTGTCTACCTAACCGGGTAGCTTGCTGTTCCCTTTAAAGTGGGCGTGCATTTTCCAGTTTGCCGCCATCCATTATTATAGTCTACTAGGTCCACTTCTCTGCTGTATGTGGCTTGCCTGAGCACAGTAGGCATTTAGTGAGCATTTTTGTTTTAAATAATAGATAACACAGACGTTCACAGAGAAGGCTTAAAAGGATTGATCTGGGGTCTGGTTTCCTTATGATACTCTGTTGTCCCAGTTGTGTAAAGCTAAATAGATTCCCATATTTTTTTTAGTTTAAGTGGATGTGCAGTCCTGGGAGACCAGGATTTTTGGTATACGTATGGAGAATAAGGTTGTATGCAGGTGAATTTACTGAAGACTAGGAAATTACTGAAATGCTTGGGCTGCACAATAACACCACTGAAGAAAAATATTATCTTAGCATTTCGCAGACCTTGAATTTAGTGGCTTAAAACAAACAACTTTGTACAATTCCTGAGACATAGTATATGGTAAATGTACATTTTTGTAATGCATGAAAGAGTAGGTGAATGATTGAATGTCTCATGATAAGGTTTCATTACTAGTGAGTTGGAGATTAACTGAGAGTAAGGATCAAACTGCCTGAGAAAACTTAAATAGAGCTGAATATACAAAGAGGAAAACAGTATAAGATGACAGGAGCTGGCGGTGCTTATCATGGGTTTAACTTCACAGGTAAGACAAAATTCACTGTCAAACTGACCAAAGAGAATCACTGATCAGGAGATTTAGTTGATAAAAATGTTATCAGGTGATGTTCCCAGTAGAAACATAGGATATAATATTTAGACACTTATGTCATTCTAATACTGTGAGGTAGCTCAAGTCAAAGTGAAAACAGCTCCCTACTCATCATCTTGTCTATCTTTTCTTAAATGAAAGAAGCAAACTTTACTTGACACATTGACAATAAAGTTCAATAAAACAAATTGTACTAGACAGCCATCACTCCTGCTTGCAGAAATTCTTGAGATTTATTTCATAGAATGTTTAATAATAACAACACAGAATAATAAATAAAATCTTACATTTTCAGAAAGCAAGTAAAAATCAGACAATACTCACAACCTCACAACATCCCTTTTTGTTTTTGAGATGGAGTCTCGGTTTGTGCCCCAGGCTGGAGTGCAGTGGTGCAATCTTAGCTCACTGCAAGCTCCACCTTCCAGGCTCACGCCATTTTCCTGCCTCAGCCTCCCGAGTAGCTGGGACTACAGGCACCCTCCACCACGCCCAGGTAATTTTTTGTATTTTTAGTTGAGACGGGGTTTCACTGTGTTAGCCAGGGTGGTCTCGATCTCCTGACCTCGTGATCTGCCCGCCTTGGCCTCCCAAAGACAATTTCCCATTTTTTAAAGTTCTCTGCTGGTTGTAGAAGTGCCAGGGAGACTGAGGTCTCTACTTGTAATACTTTATCCAGGTGTTTGGCTTCCTGGTGGCTGCTGTGTTCCACTTCCAGCCTTTTCTAGGACCATGCCATCCATTCTTCCCAGCTTTCCAACCTCTTCCATTCCAAGTGTGTACTCTGAGCTCCAGTTAGCACTTATCCATCTAGATATCCTTAGCCTAAGTGAGAAACACTTCTCGCTCTCTTTCCTGGGAAGACATTGCTGCATTTTATGCCATCTACCTTTCTTTTCTACTTTGCCTATTTTTAAAGAGACAAAAATCAATCAGGCAACTAACCTTTTTGTTAGACCTTTTTAATCACAAAATTGTTTAAATGGTTCAGTATTCTTTTTTAGAAATATATACAAAAAGATACAATATAGTATATATTTCTTTGCAGCTCAGTACTTAGGAGAGTCCTGCTGGAGGCAGACACAAGCCTGCACATGATATGTTTCCATATGTTGCTCACATTTGCACACTTCTGAACTGTAGCCTGGAAACAACACCACAGAAGTCCACACCACTGAGAGTTACTTAGATTTGTTTCAGAAGTGCAACTAATAAAGTATACTTTATTAGAATTATAAATAAAATACTTTATTAGTTGCAACATTATGCAACTAATTGTAAAAGTAGTTGTTGTCACATTATACAACTAACAAAACAAAGTAAAATATAGATAAGGGAAAAGCAAAGGAGCCCACATTATTTGCATATATAATTATTTGCAAGAAAAAAAAGCAAGGACTCAGAAAATTTGGTAGAACTAAAGAACTTTGAATGGGGGTGATGCTATGATTTCAATGTTTGTCCACTCCAAAACTCATTTTGAAACTTAATCCCCAACGTGTCAGTATTGAAAGGTGGAGCCTTTAAGAGGTGATTGGGTCCTGATGGCTCTGCCCTCATGAATGGATTAATCCACTCATGGATTAATGGGTTATCATGAGAATAGGACTGGTGACTTTATAAGAAGGGTGAGAGAGACCTGAGCTAACACACAGCCCCCTCATCATGTGATACTCTAGGCAGCTTCGGAACTCTGTTGAAATTCCCCACCAGCAAGAAGGCTCTCACCATGCATGGCCCCTTAACTTTGGAGTACTTAGCCTCTATAACCGTAAAAAAGAAATTCTTTTTACTCATAAATTTCAGGTATTCTGTTCTGAGCAACAGAAAACAGAGTAAGACAAGTGACAAATTCTTTAATACAACAAAGAGTCACTTAGAAACATAATGGCAAAAAATGATATAATTCATAACAGAAACAAAAGAACATAATATTTTGAACAAACATAATGAAAAGCATTTAAGACAGAGAGACAGAGTAAGAAAGAGACATCTGCAAAATTTCATTAAAGGACATTCAAGAAGCTAATAGGCAGAGACGCATATTTAAGAACAAATAAAATAGTTCTATAAAGATAGAAGCTATTTTCAAATTGACCTGCATAATTGAAGCAAACCCAAGTTTCAATGGGATATATTTTAATGAAAAAAAAAGGCATCTAAGTTTATCAAGTACAATATATACTAGAAATTCATAAAAGTCAAACTATGAGGTCTTGGTACCAGAAAACACAAAAGAGAAAATGGAACTGTATGCAAGGGATCATGTTTGTATGAAAAGTAATATTTGAAAAAGGTGACATTTTAAGTCAGTAGATTTATTAAATATTTGGCCAGGGAAAATTAATTTGATATGTCTTGAAGAAAGAAAAAATATAAGAAAAATAACTAATAATAAAAAATTCAAAATAAAATAGAAATTACATTAGAATATTTGTAGCTTACAAAACATTTTATGGAGTGGTTATTTTTACATACATATATACAAAGGAATTATGATGGCTTCTGATTTTATTTTTACCCCATGCTATAGGCTAAATGGAAGGCTTAGCCACTGTCAGAAAATTACCTTAAATTTATGAACTCATTTACCAAGAACTGAACGGGCTTAGAAATTAGAAAGCAACAATACTCTAGTCTTTACCCTAAGCTGTCTGCGAGTTGGTGCTTATTGCTCCTGTGGGAAGAAATCCTTAGCCAAAAGTCTCAGTGACTGCCAGGAACAGTGATTTAGGGTCTATGCCATCCATTTCCTCCATAAGACTGTGTTTTAGGACAAAGGTGCCATTTGAGACCCAAAAAAGGATATCTGTTTCAAAGCATTAAAAGGATTTTACAGAACTAATTAGAAGCAAAGGGCTGTCTGTCTTCCTTATTAAAAATGCAAGTTATTCAGAGAATTCATAAGAGTATTCTTCTACATTTGAAAAAACTGAAATTAAGTATTAAAGAGCTAAAAGAAATATAATAATTAAAACTAAGTTCAGTAGAATGTAAAACAGATAAAACAATAAAACATTTTGCTGTGGCTAAAAAATATAAAAGGTAAAAGGCCTAGAAGCTCCTTTTAATTAAAGTAAACTGGCTAAAAGTTGTGGATCAATAGTCTCTGCATTTAGTTATCAAAACCATGGCTTTTCTTTTTCTTTTTATTTTTTATTTCACAATGGAGACTCACTTTGTCACCCAGTCTGGAGGGCTATGGTGCGATCTCAGCTCACTGCAACCTCCACCTTCCAGGTTCAAGCAATTCTCCTGCCTCAGCCTCCTGAGTAGCTGAGATTACAGGTGTCTGCCACGGTGCCTGGCTAATTTTTTGTAGTTTTAGTAGAGACAGGGTTTCACTGTGTTAGGATGGTGTCGATCTCATGACCTCGTGATCTGCCGGCCTCGGCCTCCCAAAGTGCTGTGATAACAGGTGTGAGCCACTGCGCCCAGCCAACCAGGGCTTTTCTAAGGGGAAAACTTCCTGTATTTTCAATCATTGCTTAAGATCCCTAGGCAGCGTCTTAGACAGAACTGAGTCACCACCTCAGGGCATAGCCAGAGTGACACATTATTTAGTAGAGGAAAGGAAAATGTTAAAATAATACAAGGATATTTTCAGCTGATGCTGAGTCAGATAGTTACAGGAAAAACTGCAAAAGTTTCCACCACTTACCCTAAATGCTATTATATCTCCTACTTATAAATAGAAAGACTAGAGGCCAGGTGTGGTAGCTCAGGCCTACAATCCCAGCACTTTTGGGAGGCTGAGGCAGGTGGAATGCTTGAGGCCGAGTTTGAGACCCCATCTCTACAAAAAAAAAAAAAAAAGGACTAGAAAATAGTTCATATATTAAATTCAATGTGGGATTTATTTTTAAAAGTAGACGAATGCAATTAAAAATTTTTTTAGCAGGGTCATCTATCTTCCATTTTGACGCCTTTTTAATTTATTCATCTCCACTATGAATGTTAAAGGGATTGGCCAGATTTATCAATTAAATATCATGCTTTTAAATTGACTTGTAGTATGTAGTTTCAATTTTATGTCTGATTATGTTTTGGAAAACATTCAAGAATGCATGCCTCATAATAAAAGATTAAATAATAATTCAGTTAAAGAATTTTTTTCAATTTTATTTGTTGATGACTGAGTGAAGGCTCTCAATTCAATTGGCTTTTACTATACAGTTTACAACTTGTCACATCAAAATGTACAGTTTTAAATATCTCAGGTCACAAATTGCTTTTCAAATCAAGTTGCATCCATATAAATGTTCTTGAGAAAAAAATGATTATGTGAATCAAACTAAAATCTCTGAATTTTAAAAATTAAGACAGGCAATTGTGCAATTTTGCATCATTGTCTGTTTTACATATGCTTTATAATTTTGTTTTTGAAACTAGAAGTTTACTAGAATTAAAGTCCCAGGATCATTAAGTAAATCAAGAAAGGAAAGATGTCCTTGTGTTTTCAAAAGGTTATACCTGGTTTGAATTCTTACTTTTGTATGAATCATCTCAAAAGCAAAAGATTAAGTTGTTATAATTTTCTTTTTTAATAATATCATCATCATGTATAAATGTAGGTTTTTGAGACGGACCAAAACAAAAATAAGAATTCAAACCAGGTGATTCTTTCTATACAATGTTTTGAAAACATAATGACATCATGCCTTTCTTAATTTATTTAATGTTTCTGGGACCTTAGCTTCGTATTGAAATCATGATATTTTCTTAATTTTTCCAATTTTAATATTAGCATTATGGTTTTTGAAGAAATGTATATATTTAAAATCTCTAATAAATTATTTTATATTATATTAATATAGTGATAAATTTAAGACAAATTACAATTGTGCTATGAGACATGCATGGGTATTTTATCTTATTTTAAGGAAATATATTAATTACTGTATATTTTAGGGAGAATGTACTACTAGACCCATTTTATCTACAGACAGAAAGAACAGAATCTGTATCAATATAAAACACATAAAATTAAATGATATTCTCCAATGGCTGAGAAACAAGCTATATTTTAAATTGCGGTTGCCCAAAATAACATATATTAAAATATATTCCATTTCCGTTTTATTTTTTAAATAAAACAGTGATTGTGAAAACAAATAATTTTTTATTGACAGATTTTTCTCTTTAAGTTGTAGCCCATGTTGGAACAAAGAAAACCCAAGAGGATCTTCTCTATTCATAACCCTTGACATTTATTTATAGATGGTGTACACATTATTTCTTTAGATTTCCTTTAGTTTCATATTTGGTCCAATTACTATGCTTGATGTATCAGGTATCTTTTATATCTTAAATAAATAAATCTCTGACTCAATTTTCAGCAATGTGATAAACGGAGGAAAAGAGAAGAATATGGCAATGAAAACTAGATAAAAGGGGAAATAGTCTAAGACGGTCCTTTGGCCTATTATAATACGTTTTTCCCTAGATAACCACATAACTCCTGCTATGGTGGGTGTGGAAGATTTTATCATCCCTTTCTTTTAAATCAAAAGACAATGAGTTCCAATTTTCTGTCAAATGCAACGTCAAAGCTTAAGACATCCAATTCTACCAATTCTTGATAAGCCTCTTTTTATTTACTGTAGAGAAAAGATAATTTCCCTCCTTTATCCTATCCTGCATATTCATGGACACTTATTTCCTTCCTACACTGATGTTAATGTCTTACTCTTTTTTTTTTTTTCTGAGCAAATGCTGGTATAGAGAAAATGGCTGTAGTGCATGCACTGGAAATGGGAGACAAGAGTCCTTGTGCTGTGCCTTGGAGGTCATTAGAGTGGTCCCATTAGAGTGAAAAATAGTCCAAGTGTGTCCATTTATTTAAAATCTATTACATAATACCAGTTATAACAATTTGATGGAAAAAATAAGCATGAAAATTCGAAGAGGAGGTAAGGAGGTAAAACTAAAGTTCTTTTCAGATGTGATGATTTTATGTCTAGAAAACCCAAAATAATAAACGAAAAAGCTAATAATGTAAATTATAAAAGACAATTTACAATTTATAAAGTAACTGGGTTTAACATTAGTGCACATATATAGACACACATACACACACACACACACACACACACACACACAAAGATAGCCTTCCTATAAATGTAGAAGAGCCAGTTACAAAATATAATGAAGAAATTTGCATTTAGGTAGGCATATAAAAATATAAAATATCTAAATAGAAACTTAACAAGAGAAACACAGAAGAAAATTGGATATATACATAGGTATACTAATACTATAAATATATTTATTATGTTTTTTTCAACTAGACAAGCTCACTCTAAAGTTCATGTAGGAAAAAAAATAAATGTACATTAGTCAGGGAGTATTTTTTAAAAAAGAAGTAGATGATGTTTACCCTAGTAGTTATTAAAAAAAAATTAAAACAACAATTAGGCATGTAGTACTGGCACACGAATAGATAACCCAATGGAACAGTCTATAAAAGCAAGCAGTAGAGCCAAATATATAGTGACTAAGTGAGTGAGTTGGCATGTCATATTAATTTGAAATATATGGATTTATTCAATATATGGTTTTGTTATTACTGGTAGTTTTTGAGAGAACAAGTAAGATAGTAACAAATACTATCTCTCAAATTTTAATTTGGTAAGAATTGTAAAAACACACATGAAATATTCATAAAACTACTATAAGACACTGTAAGATATGTTTATAAATTCAGAATACTGAAAGCCTATCTTAGCAAATATCAAAACCTAGAAATCTTAAAGCAAAGGTGGATAAATTTCATCACCCAAATATAAAATATTTTAGCAATTTTAGCACAATAAAATCAAACAAATAGGTGTAAACTAGGTTAAAGGACAAGAACCAGCTGGATAAATTTTTTGACATTAATGTGACCCCAAATGGATGAATTTCCTTATACAGATCTCCTACCAATCAATAAAAAGGTTAGCAAATCAGTAGAAATAAAAGCAAAATACATGAAATGCCAGTTCACATAAAGAAAATAATTATTTTTAAATATGCGAAAAGTTGCTCAAACCCAGTAAAAATAATAGGTGTTCAAAACCATGAGATACCTTTTTTTGTCTTTCAAAGACTGTTAAGAATCATATCAGCCACACTAAAGAGAGACAAGCTGTCTGATACAGTACAGGTGGAAGGGTGAACTCATAGATACCTTATGAATGGCAAATTGGTAATATCTATCACAATTTTATATGAACATTCCCCCCACCAACAATGTTACTTCAACAAATCTATTCTAATATGTTTATCTTGCACACATGTGCAAAATGTGTATTCATGTAATATTGCTTGCAATAGCAAAAGATTGGAAGCAACTTAAATGTCTATCAAAAAGGATTTACATATACAGATACTATGCAGTCCTTGATACAATTTCAAAACACAGAACGTTTGTGAAGAAAAGCAAGATCCATGATTGTATAATTTAGTAACTTTTGTAAAAAGTATGTGTGTACACATATACACACTATATATACACACATGTATGCACAAGTACATATAAACACACATATATAGGGGGGTGTGTTTGTGTATCTTTAGAAGGATACACAAGCATAGCTACTAGATATCAGCAGTAGGCCCTGAGGGAATAACCTTGTGTAAGAAGGGAATGTCATTAGGAGGAAAACTTTTATTTTCCTGCACACTCTTTTGTACCTTTGAACTTTTATTGTGTGTATATATTAATTATTCAAACATATTTCAGGAAGCTAAAAACCAAGTCACTGAAATGAGTTTGACTGGGAAACTGGAGGGAAAGAATTAGAAGCACCAGAAATTTCTCCTACCAGGGTCAAATTCTGAAAGCAAAGGTACACTCTTGCTTAATGACCCTACACATTTTCTGGAAAGAGCATCCATTAGGGAATCAGGCAGTGAAATATTAGGAAGTAGGGATTTGGTATCAAATCTGTAGTCTTAAAAATTAATTTTCCTTAGTGTTCACAGTGGAAAGACTGAAGAAATTTAAAACATAACACTCAGCTATGTCTAAGACATGCAGTTATCTAAATGGTAAGAACCATATAATTCTTTGGAAAGATAAGATTAACACAAGTGAAACAACTAGAAAAAAAATTAAAAGCACTGTTAATTCTAAGAAATGATGGTTCTCTGGTGCTAGAATAATTCGGGGAGGTCTTAAATGGAAACTGTAATTCAGCTAGTAGGATTTGTAAGAGGGCATTTCAGGTGGGGATAACAGCATGAGCAGAGGGTTGGAGGAAAGAATTATCTTGGTGCTTGTGGGAGCAATGAAGAAAAGTGTTATGAGTTATGCAAATATTGTAGAGAATTTAAAATGTGCTTGAAATTCTACATTTCAGCAATGTATATTCTAAAATGATGCATCAAGAAGATCAGGGAGAAATGCAAACTGTACTAAAAAATGACAATTATAATTATAACCATTGAAATTGAAAATGTCAATAAATAAAGTAAGTTAGACCACTGTCTAAATAGGCATTTTAACACAATGGCTGTGAAAATCACTACTGGAACCAGAGCAGGGCTCTGATACTAGCTCTTGGCTCCATTCCTCACCGCCACCTTGATCCTGGGCAATGTACTTAAAGGTTTTGATTCTTGGTTTCCTCAGTAGTCAAATGCAAATAATAATAATATTTACCTCATAAAGGTTGTTGAGGTAACCTATTTAGTAAAGCAATATATGTAAAAATGCATTAGAGCTTAGCATACAGTCGACCCTTCATAATTGTTGGCAGAAGTATGCAGTGGGCTTTAGATTCACGCTGTTTAGATTCACTTATCGGCTCCAACACTTACTAACTTGAGAGGATGGACAATTAACCTAACCGCTCCATGACTTATTCCTTCTCCCTGAAATTAGAATAACAATAGTAACCAACTATATTAGTCTTCATAGCAAACTACCACAGACTCAGCAGTTTAAAACAACACCAATTATTAACTCCCAGTTCTGTAGGTCAGAATTTGAGATGGTCTTGGCTGGGTTTTCTGCTTTGAGTCTCAGACGGTGAGAGCAAAATTTTAGTAGAAAGACATTTTAGATATTAAATAAAAAGTTTTGGAAATTCAAAACAAAGTTTTAAAATGCAAAATAATAAAAAATTCCATAATTACACGATAATAAAAAAGACTACCTTTAGTGTTATTCGTTGCTTGACAAACTGAAAGATGGACTAAAAAATTCCAGGTAATTTAATGGGGATGGGAGACGGGGAGTGAAGAGGATCACGTATTAAGAAAAATTCTTTTGGAATTATGTATATTAGTATTGTCTTCTTATTTATCAGTATCATTATCTTTCATCATCATCACCATGTGTCCAGTGCTGGACTAGGCCCTTTTGTGCACCACCACAACCTACCACTATCAGTTTGATACTATCACTACCTTCATTTTACAGATGAGAATACTGAGGTTTGGCACTTAACAGACTTTAACTTAGTTAAAGGAGTTAGAATGATAGAGACCATATTCCAGTTCAGATATGCCCAAATCCAATGTATACCTGAATCCAGGTATGCTCCAGAATCCAAATTGATAGTCAATGAGATTAATTTTTTTAAATTGTCTTAGTCAATTTCAGCTGCTATAACAAATTACTGTAGACTGGGTGGCTTCAACAATAAACATTTATTTCTCACAGTCCTGGAGGCTGAGAAGTCCAAGATCAATGCACCAGCAGATTTGGTGTCTGGTAAGGGCCTGCTTCTTGGTTCATAGCTGTCTTCTTACCTTGTCTTCACATAGCAGAGGGCAGAGAAAGATCACTTCCTTGGTGTCTCTTCTTATAAGGGAACTAATCCCATTCATGAGGGCTCTTCTCATGGCCCAATTCCTTCCAAAGGCTCTACATCAAAACATATCACAGTAGGTTCTTAGGCCTCAACAAATAAATTTGGGCGCAGGGGAGGGGGGTTGTGCAGAAACATTCAGCCCATAGCAAAACCCAGTGAACTTTTTACAGTCTTTTTTTTGTTTTGTTTTGCTGCTACTTTATTCTGCTTTGTTTCAAAGCATCATTTTCAAGTTATTTCCTTTGCAGCACTAAGTATTTAGTATACTAACAGGTGTTCTAAGAAAAAGTTTGTCATAGTACAAAAAAGAAAGTCTGCAAAATGCTGAATTAAATATTTTTGAAAAAAATTCTTAACCACAGGACCTTTCAAAGTATTTAATATACTAACATTCACCATGAATCTCTAAGAGGCTGCTTTGATATGCAATGTCTCCCCAAATTATTTTACCATGGATTTTTTCCTCCCAGAAACCTATTAACATCTTGGGGAAAAGGAGGCCTGCAGAAAATAACTTGAAAAGCACTGTCTTTGAGTGATGTACAGATTCATTTTTGGCACTGTAGGCTCCTATTAAGAGAAGCTATAAAACTGTAGGCTGGATCACAGTGATTAGTAAAGGTCCCTTAGCACTTTGTGTGAAGTACAAGCTTCACAATAGAGTTTCATCCTTTTACTTTTTAAATTTTATTTTATTTTAAATAATTCAATTTCTGCAGTCTTCTAACATATCTTATATTCCACTTCTGAAGAGGCTATGTGTGAGTGCAGTAACAGTGAAATGAGTCCTATCAAGGTAAATTAGGTAAAGTGCCTAGAATCTTCAAAATGAAAGGCTTATTGGTAGATGATCATTATCAATTAGTGGTTCAAAAAGAGGGGATGATTATGAATATGGAGCTGTGGATTTAAGACTATCAATTTTTTATTGGAAATGAGACGAGAAAGTAGAGATATTAAACTGGCAACATCTTTCATAAGTTGTCTATCAGGTAATACAGAATGTCATTTACTGTCTCCGCACCAAGTATTTGGGCATAGAATGTGCATTGTAATGTACTTTTATGCCCACTAGTTTTTAAAAACCCTTCTTTAAATTAAAAGAAAGATACATGTTTAGAAACACACACTGTTGGCAAAAATAATTTAACTTCTTAATATGCTCATTAAGGTCAAATACTATCAAAAAAGTGGAAATAAACAGGGAATAACATACAAAACTACACAAAATTCTTAACCCACTCTTTTTTTTCCCTTAAATATCACATCCCAGAGAGACTGGTTTCCAACTTTACATTTTTAGGATTTAGTACTATCCTTTAGAAATAAAACCTAAAACTAATATTAGACATCTCATTTCAAAAGTTAAAGTGTATTTTAGGATGAACATGCCACAGGGTGACTGAAAACATAGTTTCACAAGGAAGTAATGATGATGCACCAGAAAATTAGAATTTGATTGCTTGAAACATCTTTGCTACAACTCTGGACAATACTGTCTTATTCTAACATCTGTGACTTTAGGCATATAAATAGACAGTAAATAAATGAATCTCTCTCATTCTCTTAGCAAGGTGATTTTTTAAAAAATGTGTTTTAACCCTCCCACCAATCGTGAGATATGAACAAACCCTTTCTGAAAGGTGTTCTTTTTTTTCTTTCTTTCTTTCTTTTTTCCGTTGTTTGCTTGTCAGTTATACAATACCTTAAACCCTCCCTAGCAGTATTCAGCATTACGGTTCCATTCACCTCGCATTCTTCATTTCACTTAAAATTTGAAAAGGAAGGTAGAAATTTAAGTTTAAAGGACTCATCTCACCTTTAAAGGACTCATCCTTTAAAGGAGGCAGATGGAGATGTAGTTCCATGGCTAATTGCACTCTGTTATTCTTTTCTTAGTAGATTCACCTTTCAACTCTTTGCCTTCGAGAATGTTTCTCTTTCAATTTCTCTAGCTCTGTGTTTGTCTCTCTCCCTACCTCCCTCTCTAGAAGACAAAAAAAAAAAAAAAAGAAAAGAAAAAAGGAAAAGAAAAAAAAAAGAAAAAAAAGAAAAAAGAAGCCCTGTTTCATTTTGGTACCTGTAACTGCTGGAATTGGATCCATGTACAATAAGCAATCATTCTAACCGAAAAACAGAGAAGAAAGCACAATTGTAAGCCATGAGCTGTATTTTTGGTTCAATCACTTCCACTGCAAAAACCAGTCCATTTATTTTGGCGGATAGAAAGAAAATTTGATCCACCTTAGTGATGCTTCAAGGGTCTGTCTTTGCCTTTATGTTCTTGCACAGTTCCCAAACTTGCCCCACTTCTTCTCTGAAACAGATGTCCTGCTTAACGAGATGCATGTCTCCTACTCACTTCCACCCTTTTGCCCCCGTGAACAGATGAGCCCACAACCCTCTCTCCCCAGCCCTGGAGCTAACTAAATTGTAGACAGAGCAGCAGAGCAGCCCTGTCTTAGCTGATTAGGGTCTGGTTGCTGACTACGTTGCAGTTCCTGAGAAATACGGGGCAATTCACTTTGCAGGGTTCTGTCTCTCATGCAGTTTTGTGCCCCAAGAGTCACTTTTCAAAATCTCTTAACTTCTGTTCCTGGTTATACTGAGAAAGGAAGTTCAGGGGAATCCTTAACGTGGTTAATTATAAAGTCAGTGCTGGAATCCAAGGGACTCTCAGGCAGCAAGGGTGCAGCTCTTAACCCCACAGTCTCCAGCATGTGCGGAGAAGGTACAGGCAATGCAGGAACTTCAGAGGTGGTGGCAGGTGCTAGGTGCTAGGGTGTGGCTGCAGTTGTCTCCCTTTTCTCTTATAGCAGAAGGAGCTGAAAGAGGAGGGGAGGAGGGAGGAAGGAGAGAGAGAGCAAAAGAGAGACAGAGAGAGAGAGCAAAAGAGAGAGAGAGGAGGGGGAGACCCGGGGAGTGAATAACAGGGCGGGCGGAGGGCGGGCGGGCGCCGGGGGAGTGGGGAGCGCGCCTGCCAGGCTCAGACTCACACGCACGCCGCCTCTGTTTGTACACAGTGCGCTCCCGGCGGCCCGCTCGCTCCCCTCCAGCTCACGCTTCATTGTTCTCCAAGTCAGAAGCCCCGCAGCCGCCGCGCGGAGAACAGCGACAGCCGAGCGCCCGGTCCGCCTGTCTGCCGGTGGGTCTGCCTGCCCGCGCAGCAGACCCGGGGCGGCCGCGGGAGCCCGCGCCCCGCCCGCCGCGCCTCTGCCGGGACCCACCCGCAGCGGAGGGCTGAGCCCGCCGGCGGCTCCCCGGAGCTCACCCACCTCCGCGCGCCGGAGCGCAGGCAAAAGGGGAGGAAAGGCTCCTCTCTTTAGTCACCACTCTCGCCCTCTCCAAGAATTTGTTTAACAAAGCGCTGAGGAAAGAGAACGTCTTCTTGAATTCTTTAGTAGGGGCGGAGTCTGCTGCTGCCCTGCGCTGCCACCTCGGCTACACTGCCCTCCGCGACGACCCCTGACCAGCCGGGGTCACGTCCGGGAGACGGGATCATGAAGCGCTCGGTAGCCGTCTGGCTCTTGGTCGGGCTCAGCCTCGGTGTCCCCCAGTTCGGCAAAGGTAAGGCGTCGGGACCCGGACAGCTGGGTGAGGGATGGGCTGGGAGTCCCCTGAGAAACGCCGCGCAGGGGGCCGGAGGCGGTCCCTCCGGCGTGCCAAGGGTGGCGAGCGCCGCTGGCGGCGCGGAGGAGGCGTCGAGTCCTGGGTGCCCCGAGAAAGTGCTTGTAAAGTCTGAGCAGAGTGCGCGGGGCCGAGCGGGGAGAAGGGTGCGGGGTACCGGGGTGAGATACAGGAAAGAGGAGGACGGTGGGGAGCGGTAGAAGACAGCGTCCCCAGGACCAGCGACTCTGTGGCTCACTCGGCCACTGGGTCTCGGCGCAAACCCTCCCTAGGCAGTGCGGGCGATGCTGACTGCAGACGTCGGGCAGGGCTTTCGTGCGGGCGGGAGCGGGGGAAGCCAGTGCGCCCGGGCGTCAGCTAGTTGATGCGGGAAGAGGCTGGGGAGCTGCAGGGCCGTCCGCCCCCGGGTGCGGTGCTCTGGCGCAGGGCCTGGGCTGAGCCGTTCGCAAACCCAGACCCGGCGCTGGGCGTTTTGGCCGCGGGTGAGGTGGAGAGGAGTCTCACAGGTCACTTCAGCTTTCTCCTGCCTCCCCATCCCAGAGGAGCAGCATCGATTACAGCAAACCCCAGGAACCCGCCTCTCCTAGTCTGACCCCAGGGGCCTGGAGCTTAGCTGCGCACCCCCTCCGAGTACCAGTGTTAACTCTTGGTAATGGGGAATAGTGCGGGGCAAGCCACCCCTCGCGTCCCCGCACAGGAGCGGAAAAGTTGTGAGAGCTTGTAGGGTGATGCCTTCTGTGAATTGCACGAAAAAATAAAAACAGAAAAATAAAAATCAAATTAAATTAAAAAGAAAAAAGCATTTAAAAGAAAACGCAGGACTTCGACGAGTGTCCTGCTGGAGTAGTTTAGGCGACTTCCAGGTCCCCTGCGAGGTGCAGCTTGTCCATACAAACCCTTGTGCTGACCTGGGTCTCACCGCTGGCCGGGGCTGAAGTAGTCGCCGGAAAAGGGCAGCGGGGGCAGCAGGGTGTGTGGGGAGGCGAGTGGGAGCTGTGCCTGGGGGAGCTGTGCCACTCCTGCGCTCACAGATGCGGGCGGCCCCTTGTGAGGGATCCGCGGGTAATAGAATCCTCTGCAGGCAGCTTCAAGTGGAAAGCTGAGTGAACTACAGGGTTTTAAATGCTGTGCCTCTAAAAAAGGTAGATGGATTTAAAAATGCGTTGACTCCAGTCCACTTGAGATTAGACAGAGTATGAATATTCTGCACCATCCATCCATGCACCTATCCATCTATTTGAGTCACAAGAAAATTGTGGACTCTTGGGCGACTGTTCGCCCAAGAAGCCGGGTGTTGCTGGCCAGATGCCCTCGCAGCTCTGGCAGTAGAGATCCATGGCCGCGCCTTGCCTGGGCCTCCCTCCGTCCCCCAGAATGTGGTTATTTTCCCCCAGCGTGTAGGCGTGTGTGTAGGTGTGTGCCTCGCCTGCGTTTACAAAGTGCCCTTCCAGTTAATAGGCAAAGGCAGCCACTCCACTAAAGGTTAAGAAATGGTAATGGTTCCAGTAGTTGCTCGGCCGAGTCTCCAGCGATATAAAAAAGAGAGTGCTTCCACGGCTGCTGTTTTTCCTTTCTCTCATTTCCCGTCTGGATTTCCTCTGCACTTTGATCTCTTAGCAGGAAGGGAAGGGGGAAGGACTGCAGGCACTCCCCTCTCCTCCTTCTCTTCCCCGCCTACGTTTCCACCCCAAACACGAAAACACACTCACCCACTCACTCGCATTGTGTCACCGCCACCACCGTACGTCCCCGCTCCGAGGTGGAGGGCGGCGCGGGGTAGAGGAGAAGATAGTGCGTCTAGCCTATGTGGCCGCGCTTGCCTATGTGGCCGCGCTTGCCTGGCTGGGTCTGATTGAGGGAGCCCCGGGGCGCGGCAAGTCCCGGCTCGCTGCAGCCAGGAGCTCTGTCTCCTGAAGATACCCGCGCCGAGGGCACAGCTTACTCCGCCAGACAAGCCAACCATGGAGATGTTGCCTGGACTCTCCATCCTGGTTCTCTTAGACAATGCTCGGGAAGCTGGATGCTCCATATTCTTCAGGAGATTTCTCCCTTTTTCCCCCAGCTAGCTTGTGAGGACAGGGGAAAGGCTTGAGGAAAAATAAATAGACCATTTTGCATTAGCCCTTTCTGTTAAAACTTGCACCTCTCTAATTTTTTCTCCCTCACCTCTGCAGAAGGCAGAGTACAGCTTCCGTGACAGCTCCAAACAATTAAACTTCCGGCAAACTTATTGAAGCCAGTGCTAACACAGAATTTTCCTTGCACTCCTTCCCGCCCCCAATCATTAATCTCATGTCTCTTAGAAATTGGTGTTTTCCCTACGTATGGGTTGCAATTTACTTGCATTAATGCCTGGGATTTGATAAGGATATGTAACTCCTTTTATTAGTCGTCTTTATTTTAAAATTAAACCAATGGATCAGTCAGATTGAATATTTTATTAACTATTAAATTATTCACGGTATGGGTTGCTCTAAAAAATTCAATAACATGCATACAGTTGCAGCAAGCACGTGACATCTTATGCAATCTGTCCCTGTGCCTGCAGTTTGTGCCTGAAGTCTTTAAGCAAATGGCACTGTCTAAAAATGTCTAGACATGTCCTAAATACTATGAATCATTGGCATTTGCATTTTCTTTTTTTAATCAATGGCGATTTTTAGTTAATTTTACATGAGAATAAATTAATACCTGAACAGTCTCACTCCAGATAACAACACTAACCTTTTATGATTAGTATAGTTACATTTATACAGAAATAAGGAGTTTCTTTTATCTTATTATATTATTATTACACATTGATGTCTTCGTTGCCTAATTTACCTGACCATTAAATTTTATACCTTAAAAATAAATGCTAACTTCAGAGTCAAGGTAAAACATACAAAAATAATTCTGAAATATCAAATTAAAATAAGAATTAAGTGAAAATGAAGTATTCTCATGTGAAAGTTTGACAGTATTGCAATATTTTGGCCACTGTGGTGATACAACACACAATTTTTTCCTCTGGTTCTGAAAATGTTTTTCTGATTTTTCCTGAAATGTTTCCTTAGAATTAAAATGTATTTGTTTTAAATGTATATGGTTTTGGGAAAAGACTTAAAATAATTTTTAAAAATCAGGAAAAAATTGAGATGGTCTATTTTTCCTTCTTTGATCTTGAAGTTGCAAAAATCTTCAAAAGTAGGCAAATGTATTTCTGAATACTTTTCTAAATTAAAACTATGTCATAATTTTCTCAAATATATTGACATCAATGTTCATATAAATCATGTATTCAAAATCTAGGGTATTTTAAATAAATATTTAATAAAGTTTGCTTTTCTCTCTAGATACATGTGATTTTTTTCTTCTAATAAAATTATAGCAATGTAAAGGGAAGGAATAAGATATACATGACTAAAATAAAGTAGCATGGTCACTCGATACCATTAAAAGTAAAAGCTTGACAGTTTTTAGAGTTAAATTAGTAGTACCAGCTGTTAATTTTATTAATTTCAAGATAAAGTTTTAATTAGCTAAAACTTTTCATTTTTGAAGGATTTTGCATAATGGGATGAACTGTATATATTATCATTTAGTGTATAATTTTTTAAAAGTTGCCTCCTTTGAGAGTTTCTTGAAGCCTAAAAAAGTAATTCTGATATTTGTTGTTTACTGCACACACTTGCAGGTGCAATAGCTTTGAGTAAGATTAGGATGTAATAGGTTCATTGTATCTCTTCCAAAGAAACAGTGCAGGCTTCAGAACTCAGTTCAAGTCAGAAGTAAATCATAACATTTGGATACTGAGTAAAAAATAGCAAATTTTGCAAATATGTGTTGAGTGTTAATGGCTTCTGTCATAGTTAATCATTTACTTTTTATTTGCTAAGTAGGTTGAAAATTAACATTATTATTTTAAAAAGCAGAAAACCAAAGCTAAGCCATTCCTATTATTCAGTTCTTCTCTGTGTTTTAAGGAAGACGCTTAGCATCTTCCTTAGATGTTCTATAGTTATAGACTATATAAATATTCTTCTAAAATGATTTTTTTATTTTTATCATAGTCCATGTAATGATTATAATGTTGTTTGCTTAATCAAAGCAAACATGTATTTATAGACAGAGTCAAATGACTGCCAATGTGAAGTAATTATTAAAATATTTCTCATGGTTTCCTATGTGATACAGCAAGAATTTAAGTACTATAAATACTTAAACTGAATGTATTACCACTTGTCACTGAAAATACCCCTAAAAATCTTTGATTTGAGCAAGTTGTTGAAGGGAAAAGTAGACTAGAATCAACTGTGCCCTCACCAGCAGATGTCAGGATAATCAACGAAGATCTTTTAAAGGAAAAAATAAAATAAAAGGAAAAATAAAAGAAGTCAAGTCATAAATGTGAATCTGCAGATCCACATAAAGTAACTTTCTACTCTTTACGAAACTAATGTTATTAGTTAGTTTTCATTGCTTCCCTGAGGAAGAAAAAAAGAGGGCATTGTAAGGTAGAATCCTTCTACCATAGGATTTTAACTTGGAAACACAGACATTCAAGTGCACACTTAGGTTGAACTATTACTTTAGAGGGAGTCTTCTAAGTACCTTCCAAGGAAAAACACAGAGAGCTATGAGGTGTTTGTAGTAAAACAATTATTAATGAAATTTATACCACGATTTCTAAGCTTATTCTTCATATGAACTATAAGTTTCATAAATAGCAGTTCTGTTATATTGATTTACACAGACATACACACTCAACTATTCCTATGCATCTACTGCACTGGAAAGAGATGAATGCTTTTATTTACTCTTTTTGTCATTATGGTAAAGTGTATGTTTTTTAGATCTTGCAAGATTCTACATAAAACAAGTCATGTGGCCAAAAGAGACAAATGTCATGATAAATAAAGCTTTGTTATATCCCATTTAAGCCAGTTATTAATTTCTATATATGTGACTCCTCTGCATCAATTGATGTCAGGGACTTGAACTAATTTATTTTGATTGCAATTGACCTTTAACTGATAACTTGTAGTTCCAGCATCTGCTGATGTAGCCCTCAAAACTATGTTACAGATTCACCATTATACCCTTTTAAGGAGCTTTTTTATACAGTCACTGACATTGTGCCAAATAGTCGGTTTCCAGTGGCATTCTTTCTGTGTCAGAGTTCTCCTAGGATAAAAATTTCTCTCTCCTTCATTCCGTCTCTTTCTCCTCCTCTCCCCTCCTCCCTCATTTCCTTGTTATATGGCAAATAGGACACAACATCTACTGTAAAATTGATAGTGATATTTTGTCATCATTATTAAAAGATTGCAAACCTTTGAAACGTTGTGAAACTTGTAACTTATCTTTTTGTGAGGAAAGAAAAGGAAGATGATAATGTCAAACCTCTGCCTACCAAACCTGAAGTTTAAAACATAAGTGGAAATAAATTGGGATCTAAATCATGGAGCAACTCAGGATTTTACACCTTGATTTGATCACACTGTCCTGCCTAAAGCTATCAAGTATACAGTAATTTATATCCACTTCACTTGTGGAGAAGCCACTTGCCTTGAAGCTTCATCCACATACCACATAGCTGAGAACCTAGGATAAAGAATCAGAAACTTCTGACCACAAAAATAGATGTCATAGTTAGGTCTTAGATCATGTATCATAGAAAAGCTTATTTCTCTTGGCTTTCAAGTTTCTGGGTCCTCTATAAACTGAATCCAGAAAGTGAAAAGCATATGAAGTAATAGGTCAGGCTTAATCAGAGCAGTAAAACATGCCAACTTTTAGACAAAGAGGAGACTCGAATAGTATATGTAAAAGCAGTGATACTTTGCAGTACAAAAAACTGGGTACATGCAGTTGGGAGGGTTTGGGGTGGGGAGTGGTAAGTGTATCACCATATAAGAGAATGCAATAACTGGTGATAATGCTGGTTTTGCGACCTAGAGAAAGCCTCACTGCAAGATGTTCAACATTTTTTGGGTGCAAATGCAGTGAAATGTATACATTATTTAAAAAAAGACTTGGTCAAAAATGTTTAAGCTTGAAAACCTGCTTAATGGTGAAATAGCTAGATATCTGAACAATGTACTTATTTAAGACTTTTCCCGTTGTGTCAAATAAAATGTTGGTATTTTAAAATTATTTTTCTTCTAAGGTAATAAAGTTTTAGAAGACACAAAACTGAATTTTGTAAAAAAGAAGTAGACCTTACAATGTAGATAAAATGTCCTGCAATTATTTGGTTATATTTTAGAAAATGTGCTGCTATTTTGTTTTAAAATATGCATTATTATAGTGATAGTAACTGTGTAGGAATTGTTCAGATTTATAGTGTGTGACTTAGAATGGAGGATTTAAGTACAAGAATTTAGGTGACGGCTTTTTAAGCACTAAAGCACTTTTGAATGTGGTTGTTACTATGGAGAAAGAAGATTGACTTAGCTTTGCCTTTTATCTTTTCCAAAACAGGTTTGTATCAAAATGATTGATCTCTTAAAATAATTTAATATGATATAATATTTCATAAATGGGAAGACCAAGGTTTTAATCTCTTGTTAGATGATATATGCTTGATTTGAAGATGATAATCTCTAAATGGGGTTAGGCCACCATGCATTCCTTAAGGTTTGTGCTTGGTATTTAACAAAGTGGTATATTTTGGGAATGCAAAATAATCCTTTAAATCCCCTCTTGTATTTTAGGTCAGGGGAACCATTTAGATTTTACTGATTCTGGGGATTATTTGAGGTCAGCCAGGATGAAATGGGCTCATGACACAATCAGGAAAGTCCAAAACAATTGAGTGGAAACATTGGAGAATATTTTTTATTTGAAATAAATGGACAGATCCCTCTCTGTAATGTAGAGCAGTCTCCCACCTACAGGCCTGAGCCTTAGGTCTGTGCTCACATCTCTGCTTCACTCTTTTTTTTTTTTTTTTTTTGAGACGGAGTCTCGCTACCCAGGCTGCAGTGCAGTGGCGCGATCTCAACTCACTGCAAGCTCCGCCTCCCGGGTTCACACCATTCTCCTGCCTCAGCCTCCTGAATAGCTGGGACTACAGGCTCGGCTAATTTTTCTGTATTTTTAGTAGAGACGGGGTTTCACCGTGTTAGCCAGGGTGGTCTCAATCTCCTGACCTCGTGATCCACCCGCCTTGGCCTCCCAAAGTGCTGGGATTACAGGCGTGAGCCACCGCGCCCGGCCTCTGCTGCACTCTTTATCACATTTTCTTTCCAAATACTATATGAACTTTAATTTTAACTATGCTATTTTTTCTGTTTATTTATCTTTCTATAGTTTAACTTCTGTATTATAAACGCTAACTTTTCTGGAATGTTGTTTACAGACAAACAAAAACCAAATTACCATTCGCAGTGCTTTAATGTTTATATACCAAGTTCTTGTTTCATGTTTTGTGCTTTCTACTGAGCTAGGGCTTAGAATAGTACCAGGCAAAACAAACAAGAAGACCCAAACAGACACTTAATATATACTGAATTGAATGTAGCTACCCACCCCCATCAGTTTGCCTGTAAACGTACTTGCACATTTTAAACAGCAGTGTGTCTCTTATATATAAAAATAGGTCAAAGTAGTTTCAGGAACTTTAAAAGCTGTGTTTTTCACTTTCTTACATAACTATTCCTTATAATGTGTGTTGTAGAATGAGCCTACTTTGAAAATATTTCTCAACACTCCTGCAAGAGCACTGTTGATAATATAATATTCAAGTGCAGGCAGGATATAAAGTACTTAACTGTGTTTGTTATGAACCTTCAATTAAAAGAAAAGCTGCTTCTAAGTGATTTTTCCCTTTTTTAGGTGCAAGGTTCTGACATTTCTGACTAAATTTGATTTTGGCCTAGAAACAGTAATTTTTCAGGCATCATTTTGTGTTTTTATTTTTTTTGCTTTCTTTTCATTACTTAGGGACCACCATCATGTCAGCATTAAGAGTCTTAGATAAGTTAACAAGGTACATTCTTTCTAATATCTTTCAAGTCTAACATGTATTGACTGCATACTATGTGTTCCACTGTTCTAATTATCATCTTTAATTCTCAAAACTATTGAGGCAGGTGCTATTATTATTGAAATATAAATGAGAAAATGGAGATATAGAGATCATAGAGCTACTAAGTAGCATGTTAAAATTAGGATCTAGAGCTTGTCCTCTTAACTATTAGGCGATGCTCTGTCTCAGTGAGTGACACATCTTGTATATCATGGAGATATTTTGTTAAATGATTTTATTATTTGTAAAACACACATTATGTCTAACCATTATTTCACTAGTAATTATTTTAGAAGGATTAAATTATACTTATTCTCTTGGGACAATAATTTAAAAATTTCAAATTTAGGTTGGTAAAGTGTAAAGTTCTTTTTTCACATTCAGAAATAAAAGAGTATGCTCATTCATTTGGTCAGAAAGTGTTAATGTGTTAGAATGCATCACTGGTAAGAAGATGAGCACTTGGGAAGTGGTTTGAAATACATTTTCTTTAAATCTTGCCATTTAGTTTGATTTCAGCACAATTTTTTGATTTATTTTAATTTTCTAGGATTTCATTGCTCCTCTACATTGTTTCATTGCTATTCAATGTGATGTGTAGAAGCATGCTTTCTCTGTAATTTTCAGATACATCAGGTAGTACAAAGTGACTTTAGAGGTTAACAAGGTTTTTATTTCTCCTAGTGTAATGAAGATATTTAATTTGCCTTACATCTCATCCTCATTTAATTTTATTTCCACATAACCCCATTAAGAAGTTTTAGCCAAACAAAAGCACCAAATAATCTCAAACCACATCAATTAGAATATTTTTTTTTCTGGTTTATGTGAAGAATTATTCAACCAAAATATGGTTTATTTTTTTAAAAAAACTTCAAACTGCAATCATTTTAAGTATTTTACAAAACAATGAGAATTATGCTGTATTATTCCATTTTCACACTGCTATAAAGAAATACTCGAAGGCTGGGCGCAGTGGCACATGCCTGTAATCCCAGCACTTTGGGAGACTGAAGTGGGCGGGTCACGAGGTCAAGAGATCGAGACCATCCTGGCCAACATGATGAAACCCTTTCTCTACTAAAAATACAAAAAATAGCTGGGCGTGGTGGTGTGTGCCTGTAGTCCCAGCTACTCAGGAGGCTGAGGCAGCAGAATTGCTTGAACCTGGGAGGCAGAAGTTGCAGTGAGCCGAGATCATGCCATTGCACTTCAGCTTGGTGACAGAGAGAGACTCCGTCTGAAAAAAAGAAAAAAAAAAAAAAGAAATACCCGAGACTGGGTAATTTATAAAGGAAGGAGGTTTAATTTAATTGACTCACAGTTCCACATGGCTGGAGAGGCCTCAGGAATTTACAATCATGGTGGAAGCCGAAGGGGAAGCAAGGACCTTCTTCACGTGGCAGCAAGAGAGGGAATAGGGAAGGAGGAACTTCCAAACACTTATAAAACCATCTAATCTCCTGAGAACTTACTCACTATTCAAGAACAACACAGGGGAAACCACCTCCATGATTCAGTCACCTCCCTCCTTGGACACTTGGGGATTACAGGTCCCTCCCTCAACACATGGGGATTGCAATTTGGGATAATATTTGGGTGGGGACCCAGAGCCAAACCATATCATATGCCATCTAACATGAGCTCATCCTCGTCATTTTCTTCCTTGGTATAGCTGTAAATTGTTTAACTGTTGAAATTTACCTCCACATGCATTATTATATTTATTCCCCCAAAATAATAAAAGAGTGGTTAAAATTTCGTAAGCATTTTCCACTTTAGGAAACATAAGTATTTTCCACTTTAGGAAACATTTCTACTTTAGGGAACATAAGCAGAGAACATATTCTTAATCTAATTTAACAGATAAGGACTTGAGATTCAAAAAAGTTGTATGACCTGGAATTCAAGGAGTAAGTAGTTTCAATTTGAATCTATATGTTCTGATTCCAACTTATTTTTTACTCCTTTCTTCTGTACTACTTTACTTGAGGTAATTATAGTTGTGCTTTTTTTTTTTTTTCCAGTTCTTGGACTCAAGAGATAAAAAGGAGAGGTTGGCATACTGCTTGCTTTTTCAAAAACTATTTCAAATTGCTTCTCAACATTAACACTTTCTTTCTTTCCATTAGCACATAACACTTTCTTTCCCCTTTGGAGCCCATTACTAACCTTCATAACATGCTTTACTTCCTCAGTGGCTTCAGAACCTTGTTTCTTCTCCATCATTCGTCCCCTTAAAAACTTTCACATATGAGCTTGTAGCCCTTTTAACATTCTGATATTAAACTTCCTGGAAGATCCCAACATTAATGATTCCCATCTCTGTTTTTAAGTACCTACTGGCAATGCTATTTATTAGATTTTCGCATCACATGAAATTACTCAGCTACCAGTATTTTAAATTTCTCAGAGTTTCTGTCTCTTACCAGAATTTTCTAGCTTTTACCTTTCCTCACCCTTCATTCCTACTGACCCTACTCTTGGTCACTACTCTAATTTCTAATCCTTCTTATGTGTTTTTCCCAACCTGGTCTCTGTGGTTATGCATTTCCAGAAGTATTTACCCACTTACAAATTTCTCTGTTGATTACACCCATTTTTGCTTTATCTGGATGATTTCACCATTGTTGCTTTATGAAATCTCGAACTAAGATAATTTCTAAAGTCTTTTTTCCATCTCTGGCACTAAGAAAATGAGTACTATCAAAAAGTGATAGCATCTATAGATCCTGGAAGGGCTGAAAGGTTGAATTGGGTTTTAAAGGGAATGAATAAGAAGACAGGAAGTGATGGTTGGAGGAAAAAGATTTTGGAGGCATCGTAATAATTCCAATGTAATTAAAATTTTGGTAATTACAAACATGAGAGTATGGCTATAGAAGTTATGATTCAGGGAGGGTAGAAGACATGATGATTGGAAGAAAATTGGCACCGAATGGCCAGGTGTTGGAAAAATCATCTTTGTGGTTATTAAAATCCCAAAATCTTGTGCCCCAAGAAATGTTGGGGAGGATGACAGCAAACCAAAAACAGAAATCTTTAAGGAATGACGGGGTGTAGTTCAGAGATCAGGAGTACTTATACTAAGGAATGGTAGAGGAGCAAAGATGACATGAAATTAAAACTGGGCGTTTTTAGAGAGAGAGGAGGGAAAATGTTCTGGACATGGCCTGGAGCAGCAAAGGAACTGGTACCACATGTTCAGACCCAGAAGTTATATGAGGAAAAACAGTATCCAGTTAAGAGGGCTGCAAGGTATCCTGGAGGAGAGCCGATTTACTCTAAGCAGAATGCAGATATATAATTGCCTAGTCTCAGGCATTATTCTCTTTGACTGTCTTCATCCTACAGCTTTTGACACATTACAATCTTAATAATAATTGATGTATCTCATTAAGATCAATGCTTTTAAGTACATATAATATGTGTTCATAGAAACAGCTCTTTTAAAACCCACAACAACCTAAGGCGTTTTTATTATCCCTGTTGACAGATGAGGACATGGACTGAGAATAGAATAAGTAATCAGCACTCAAAACTAGGTCTTATAGATCCAAATCGAGGAATCTTTTCACTGTAGCACACTTACAGAGAAAAGCCCCAAATCCACGGAAGAATTCCTTCTAAATTTAAAACACAGCTGGGGGATAGGAAGATTTCTGCAGTTGTTCCCTGACCTACTTTATCTTGTTCAGATGGCCCTCTACGTATTTTGAAGTCTGCATAGTTTAGGTTACTAGGAATGTCGAATATGTCTGCTTGGCGGTTTTAATTCTTGCCCATCCATGGGTCATTTGTCCAAATGTTCTCACTGTAAAACAATTAACATTATTACCAGGGGAATAGTTTCATCTCTCCTTTTAATATACTCATAATTGTGTACCTTGTACACAAAGTTCTTGTTTTTCCTCAAGTTTACATGTTTCAAATATTTGTAAACCATAATGTTTCTTTTTTAGTTTCTGACATGCTGAAGTCGTACATATTTTTTCCTTTAATCTGTCCTTGTAAGCCATTCCTTTCATCATTTTAGTTGTTTCATTTGGAATCCGTCCAAGTAGCCTACATATTTATTCAACAGGCTTGCCAAAAACTCAAGAGAATTCCAAGGATGTGCTTCCCTAAAATACCGCCACATACGTTAGTCTGTATTTTTTAATTTTTGAAGCTACATTCTGAATTTTTAATCTTTAAATTAACATTAAATCTCAAACTAAGATAGTCTCTAAAGTTCTTTTCCCATCTCTGGCACTAATAAAATGAGTACTATCAAAAAGTGATGGGATCCATAGATCGTGGTGGGACTGAAAGTTTGAATTGGGGTTCTAAAGGGAATGAATAAGAAGATAGGAAGTGATGGTTTATTGTTTAATTTATTGTTTTGCTAGTTAATTTTTTCTGTCAGGCCACACATTTTCAAATGATATGTAGGTAGAATATATATTATTTTTCATAATTTTATGCTGCATTTGCCTTCACTGGAATTTTACTTATTTTTTTCATTCTTTATTTAGTATAATTCTTACTTCTATTATATGAGATATGCTTTCCCCTCAGATATGGAGTAACCTAACTTCATTTCTTACACATAATATTATTATGCTATTTATTGTTATTTTTTATCATGTACATATGTACTAAATAATAATGCAACACACAAATTTCTGCCCTTAGCTTTTTTTATTTCATATTGGTAGGGGGTCTTTAAGTATTCATGATCTTCTTGAAATTATTTTCTCTCTCTCTCTCTCTTTCTCTCTCTCTCTCTCTCTCTCTCTCTATATATATATATATATACACACACATATATATACACATATACACACATATATATACACACATATATATACACACATACATATATACACACATATATATACACACACACATATATATATATATATATATATACTTTTTATCTATATGTATCTCTTGCTATATGTTGCAGATTTTCTGTTTCTAACTCATCCCTCAGCTTAAACTGCACAGCCTGGGAGAATCTCTCTCTGGTCATCTTATCCAAGTAACTCATGCTCACACACACACTTACATACACATCATATTTCCCTGTTATTATTCTGTCACTGTACCATTATTAAATATATTATAACACTTTTCAAAAATCATAGTTATATAATCATTTATTTGCTCATTTATTTTTTATCTTATTTCCAATAGACTGTAAGCTTGATGAAGGCAGGAAGAATATCTCTGTTCCTTAATGTATACCCAGCTCCAAACGTGGTACCTTACATATAGTAGGCACTCAGTTAATATTTATTTTCTGACTTTATGCATGCATGCATGCATGCATGAAGAACAACTCTGCTGGTATATACATCTTTTTATCGTTAAAAATGTGTTCCTTTGATAGACCCATTAAGTTATTTAATAAATTGTTATCTACTTGATGCACTGATGCATTGACTTGTGAATCATGGTACAAATGGTACATTATTAAAAAGCAATAAATACTTTAGTAGTGGCAAACTCTAAGAGCTGAATAGATTAAGTGACCTACTGTTTCCATAGCTGTCTAATTTATAAACAGTTTAAAAGGAAGATTCAGGTTTTATCTGTGGTTGCCAAATTACAATAAAATACTTTTAATACTATATGGGAGCTAGACAGTAAACTTTATTTATTTTATTATCCAGGTTTGACAGGAAAAGTATGTGCAACAAAAACAAAGTACTTAGTGGTGTTTTTAATTATCATATGGAGGAGCTGCAGGTAGCCCTCTGATCTACTAATTGCCGCAGTGCCCTGACAGTTACTCCCATCAGCTCCAGCAGCAATAACTTTCCTCCAAGCATAACTTCTTTCCCTCCTCCCACCATGCAGTCACACCTGCTAAAAGCAGAAGTACTTGGCAGAGGGGAAGAGACAACACCTGGGAACTGTGTCTGCCGAGGAGCTGAGAACCTTCTAAACAGCTCTGTTTAGAGTTGTTTGTGTAATGACAATCTGTATGTCACTGCAAACTGCTATTTATTCCCCTTTAGGCAACTGTATTTCTACCTTTCTTAAATGCCTCAATAGTTCTGAAACAATTTACATGTTTGAGACCCTGGTAATTGTGTGATTTCCACTTCTAAATCTAAAAGTCTAAAATAGACATATCTTTCTAAAAAGGTATAGAATGGAAAAAGGTGTATAAAATAAAAACTGTAAAATCTAATACTTTGCTCCTGTTTATGTGTTAAGAAAAAGGCTTTGGCAATTATCGTTGTTTGGTTTGAGGAAAGGCAGTTAATTTCTAGTCTTTGTTTTAAAATTTCAAGTATTTTGTAACCCATAAGCAAGTATACACTCATTGATGAAAAGGTATAATGATGACATATTGGCGTCTGTACTTTGAGACTTGTTTAGCTAAATAAGTATCTTTAAGTATATGTTTAACCATAAAATGGATCATATCATACAGCGTTTGGGGGTTTAATTTTCAATTTAATTATTATAGTAAAATGCACATAACATGAAATTTACTATGTCAATCATGTTTTTAGGTGTACAGTTTAGTGATATTAAATACATTTATAATGTTGTGCAATCATTATGACCATCCATCTCCATAATTCTCTTTATATTGTAATGCAGAAACCCCATCCATACTCATTAAACAATAATTCCCCAT
This sequence comes from Homo sapiens, assembly GCF_000001405.40. Taxonomy (NCBI): domain Eukaryota; kingdom Metazoa; phylum Chordata; class Mammalia; order Primates; family Hominidae; genus Homo; species Homo sapiens. Next base: position 84,369,593 of record NC_000005.10, on the reverse strand, counting down.
TTCTCCCTCTTCCCAGCCCCTGACAACCACCATCCTACTTTCTGTTTCTGTGATTTTGACTACTCTAAGTCTCTAAGTACCTCATGTAAATGGAATCATACCTTATTTGTGAGACTGGCTTATTTCACTTAGCATAATGTCTTCAAGGTTCATTTGTTTTGTAGCATACGTTAGAATGTTCTTCCCTTTTAAGGCAAAATAGAATTCCTTTGTTTATATATGTATGTATGTGTATGTTGTGTTGTCGTTCCTTTTTAAGGCAAAATAGTATACTATTCCCTTGTGGTATGTATGTATATATGTATGCATATGTTGTGTGTGTATATTTATATGTGTGTGTATATTTATATGTGTGTGTATGTTTATATATATTATATATACATATATATTCTAAGTTTTTGCTATTGTGAATAATGCTGCTATGAACATGGCTTCACAAGTATCCCTTTCAGAGTCTGTTTTCAATTCCTTTGTTATATACCCAGAAATGTAATTGCTGGATTCTATGGTAATTCTATTTTTAATTTTTGGAGGAACTTTCATAGTGTTTTTCACAGCAGCTATAGCATTCTACATCCCCACCAAGAGTGCACATACTCTACAACACTTTTTATTTTATGCTTTTTAGGTTTTTATTTTTTCAGTAGTCATCTTAATTAGTGTAAAATGGTATCTCATTTTAGTTTTGACTTGCATTTTCCCAACTATTAGTGATGTTGAGCATCTTTTCATGTGTTTATTGGCCATTTGTATATCTTCTATGGGAAAACATCTGTTCAATTCCTTTGCCCATTTTTGAATCGAGTTGTTTTTGTTGTTGTTGAGTTTTAAAGTTCTCTATATATTCTGGATATTAATTCCTTATCAGATATGTTTTGCAAATTTTTTTTCTCATTCCGTGGGTTGCCTTTTTATTCTGTGGTAGTTTATTTGGATATACAAAACTTTTTAATGTTTATAAGTCCAATTTGCTTATTTTTTCTTTTGTTGCCTGTGCCTTTCGTGTCATATCAAAGAAATCATTGCCAAATCTAATGTTGTGAAATTTTTACCCTATTTTGTCTTCTCAGAGTTTTGAAGTTTTAGATCTTAGATTTATATTTGATCTATTTTGAGTTCATTTTTGTATACGATGTAGGTAAGTGCTCAACTTCATTCTTTTATATATGGATATTCAGTTCTACCAGCAACATTTGTTGAAGAACCTGTCCTTTCCCCATTGACAATCCATATCGAATGGCTTTGGCACGCTTGTCAAAAATCCTCTCACCATATATGTGAAACTTTATTTCTGAGCTTTCTATTCTATTCCATTTGTTTCTATGTCTCTCTTCGTGTCAGACCACACTGTTTTGATTACTGTAGCATTGCAGTAAGTTTTAAAATAAGGAAGTGTGAGTCCTCCAGATTGGTTCTTCTTTTTCAAGATTTCATATGGTCTTAGGATGGTCTTTAAAATTTTTTTGTAAAAAAGCATCCTCTGAAAGTTTCAAGCCCTCAATAGATTCCAGAGTTTCAAAATAGTTACATCAGACAAATTCTGCCAGTGCAATTTTTGCCTAGGTAGGGAGGCAGATTCTTGGTGCTTCCTACTTCAGAATCTTCTGGGAATCCATTCACCTTATAGTTGTACTTATTCAACAACATTTTATTAAACTCAGACAGATGTAAGAAGTGTTTTGAGTGCCAAAATTACAGTGATCAAAAAGCTGAAAATCTTTTCTCACATAGAGCTTATATTGTAATGGAGAGAAACGGAAAATAAACAAGCAAATTATCTAGTTGGTTGAAAGGATGGGGTAGAAATTTTTAGACAGAGTCTCGCTCCATCATCTACGGCTGGAGTGCACTGGAGCCATCTCGGCTCACTGAAATGTCTGCCTCCTGGATTCAAGGGATTCGCCTGTCTCAGCCTCCCAAGTAGCTCAGATTATAGGCATGTGCCACCATGCCCAGCTAATTTTTTGTATTCTTGGTAGAAACAGGGTTTCACCATGTTGGCCAGGCTAGTCTTGTACTCCTGACCATAAGTGATCCTCCTGCCTCAGCCTCCCAAAGTGCTGGGATTACAGGCATGAGCCACCGCTCCTAGCTCAGATTCCCTTTTTATATTGAGTGCTGAGATTCAGTCTCATTGCTCAAAAATATTAAGGAAGTGAGGTATTGCAAATATGTTTTCTCACATTTTATTTGCCTTTATATTGCACTTACTATGTTTGTTAAAAGTTGTTAAAGTTGGCTGCAATGAGCTGTGATCACACCACTGCATTCCAGCTTGGGAGGTGACAGAGCAAGACCCTGTCTCAAAAAAAAAAAGTCATTAAATTTAAAACAGATTTATTTTATAAAATATGCTTGTGTTTCCCTTTATGATTTCTGCTGTTGGCATTATATTTAAGAGTATAAGAAATGCTATTTGTTTTTCCTACCAAACTGTTATCTGTGCTTCCCCACATGACTTAAAACAACTGTTAGAAAAAGAAACATGTATTATACACTAAATGCTATGATATAATTTGCATCTTTTCAGGGACTTATTTATTAAGCTACTTCTCTATTAGTGTGTCAGTAGTACTTGGTTTTAACTATTGTATTTTGTTATATGTTTGTGCCATTGTGGATAATTATTTAAAATATATCTGAATGTAATTTGCTAATATTTTTGTTGGGACATTTGCATCTATTTTCATAAATGACATGTTATACTAACTTTATTAAGCTTGGTATTGGAAAAAATGCCAGACGGATAGAATTACTTGGGGAGCTTTTCTTCTCTGAAACACTTTAAATACTGCATGAGTTTTCTGTTCCTTAAGTTTTGAAATAACTCACCTACTAGCAGTCTGATCTGTTTGGTGGGTACTTTTGTGTATACTGTTTCTAGAGTCTTTCGTAGTTAGTGGAATACTTTCTTGTTATCCCCTTTCCGTTTTTGATAATTTATCATTTCTGATACAATAGAACAGTTTAACAATATTTTCTAATTTATTAGCACATATTATATGTACCATTAAAATGTTCATAGAGAGTTACATATTTATAGAATAATGTGAAAGAAAAATGTACAAAACAGATCACAGAAATCTACATAGAGAATGGTAACTATGAAGTAAAGAAGTAAGCATTAGACAAAGTAAAGCTCCTAGGTTTCAAGAGTCACATTTTCTGCTTCAACGGATTACTAACTTTGGTTTTCTCATGTGTAAAACGGGGATAATAATAGAGCCTGACTTGTAAGGTTATTTTAAGGGTTTAATAGAGGTTAAGTGCATAGAACCATATCTGTGGCCCATGATGGATATGATGATGATCATGATGATGATGGTGATGGTGACGGTGGTGGTGGTGCTGGTGGCGACAGTATAGTATCTCCAGTGCTGTAGCACAATACTTGGTACACATTCTGATTTTAGAAAAATAATTGGTTAATAAACTGTTGTTTTTCTTTATTTTATTTTATATATATTTTTTTACTTTTTGGCAAAATACTTATCAAAAAGACTTCAGTCTTTGAGCTATAACTTTCTGGCATGTTGGTGTATTGTATTGGTTAAGAGAAAGATTTTTCTAATCAGATAGACTAGGAATTGGATCCTGGATGAAACATTTATTTGCCCTGATACCTTTTAGAGGTTATATACATAACCTGTTTCCTCATTCCTCGAGTGTGGATAAAGCAATAGCAATCTAATAGAGCTGTTGTAGAGATTAAAAGAAATAACCCATGTAATGTGCTTACAAATGCTGGCACAATACAGGTCCTCAATAAACATCTGGTATTATTATTTTCTTAATTGTGGTCTGGCTGTTAAAAGGGGAAAGTTATTCTGAGACACAATCCAAAAGAGAATGGTATAGGCAAGATATAGGAACCTGGAATGTTCTGAAAAATTCACTGATTGGCAAAGGTTAGCAATCCTAGAATTGATATGATATATGTTTTTATTATGTTTCTGACTTTAAATTATTGCATTTGGGGAGTACTTGACTGTAACAGAATATTAATTAATGTCTCCTAAGTCATCAGGTGGTCTCTGCTTTCTTTTTACTCTTTCCACCTAGATGTGCTTACTTTCCATTCTGAAGATAGACTATAAGTTGTGTCTTGATTTATAACTTATAACAGAAACTACTAAAATATCTAAGGTTGTTTTTATTTTACATTTTGCTTTAGAGGTCTTAATTGTAAATATGGTATAAAAGGAAGATTTTTTAAAGGTGGAACTCAGGATGTTAAAATGAAAAACAATTGGAATATGTTCTTGTTTTAGAGCTAAGTTTCTATGCAACAGAACTGGATTTTAAAATGAAGGTGGCCATGAGCATGAAAGTTTTTTGTAATCTACTAGTTCATGGCTGGTTGTTTCTGTGTTCAGTACTTAGTATTCAGAAAACTCTTTACTACTTCCTATCTTTTAGCAGTTCAAATTTATTTAAATATCATATATACCTCAAAAATGAATAAAAAATAAGTGCATATTGCACTTAAGATTTTAATATACAATAATTGTTTGCATTTTAAATAATTTATTTTTGCTACCTCCTCCTCTCAAAACAAGCGAACAGCAACAACCCCTCAAAACCCAATACTTTCCATTAGAGAAGATATTTAAGTTAAGTATAAGACATAAATATACAAACATGTTTTAAGGATTGGTATAACACTCTATGGTTTCCCAAAGAACAGACCAAAAATATATATGAGATTAATTAAGTGGTTTGGATGAATTAAAAAATAGGTATTAAAGTTTCGGGTTAGAAAATTGCTAGGCTAATTTGTATCAATTTGTACCTATTTCTAAAGTAACAACATTTATAACTAAAATTAACCTGTTGCAGGATTCCATATGAAATTTATGTAGTGTGAGATTTATCATGTATATATAATATATTAATTTTTAAAAATAAAGTCATAATTTAAAACATTATTTGGGGTACTATATAAATGGCCCCATAAAAGAACAATTGTAATGTGCAGATTTAGGATTATCTTCTCATTTTAAGGTTAGCTGATTAGGAGTCTTACCTGTATTTGCTAAATCCCTTTTGCCAGGTAATGTGACATATTTAATGGGTATAACATCAAGGGATGAAGATCATGGAGATCTGGAATGCTACCTACTGCAATTGTTTATATACACAATCTCATGTAGGTATAGGATTGTATAACTCTGCATCTGTAGCATGTATCTGTGTAACAATTTCCAAAGCAATATGAATTCGTTTAGGTATCAAAAGACAATTCTGGCTCTAACAAGTACTTGCCTTGTGACTGGGCAAATTCTGAATTCCAAGCCTCAATTCCCTTATTTGGCAAAAATAGAGACCGTAGCTTCTCCACTACTTGTCTTTTTGGCATATGTAATGATCAAGATAAAAATGAAGCAATACACAGGAAATGATTTCAGAACCTGAAAACTGCCTTACATTGTCTGTTTTGGTTGTAGCTTCAAAATCTTAATTTGTCTTTTATACCTTTATAGAATCAGGCAAAATTGGAAGTAGTGACAATTTCACTTCTTCTATAATCTTCCCTTGGTTGTGTTTGTATATTTTACTGTACCCATTAAGATGTCATGAAAACGCTTGATGACAATTATTTTGAAAATGAACACAAGCACACTAAGAATTGATGACAAACCTGATATATAGTCAGTGATTTGTGAGAACCCAAGCGATGATCAAAATATGAACAATGCTTATATATTAAAATGAGTATATTTATATCTGATGTCCCCATATTTCCCTGATTTCTCCAATTTTTTTTATCTCCAGTTGAGATCTAGAAGTTGTTGGCTTAGAAAATTAATTTTTATCCATACAAATTTATACAGTCAAGAAGTTAAATTAGTCACTCACCATCATGAAAAAATTGTCACCTCTAAAAGAATAAGGCATCTTACCTCTTGCTATGTTTCTGTGACCCAAAATTTCAATTTTTTCAGGTTCCAATGCCTGTGCACAAAAATGAGATTAACTTAAATTTCCTTTAATACAGTATCAGTTGCACTATTTAAAATATTTTAGCCAATATTATGGAATTGTTTCTAGAAAAAACATGTTTGACTTTGTTTCTAAAAAGCTCAATTTCAAAATCATATATGGACTATAACTTATTTTTGAATTAGCTCTTTTTTTTTTTTTTTTGACAGAGTCTTGCTCAGTCACCAGGCTAGAGTGCAGTGGCGCGATCTCGGCTCACTGCAACCTCCACTTCCCGAGTTCAAGCGATTCTCCTGCCTCAGCCTCCCGAGTAGCTGGGACTACAGGCACACACCACAGCTAATTTTTGTATTTTTAGTAGAGACAGAGTTTCACCATGTTGGCCATGATGGTCTCAATCTCTTGACCTCCTGATCGACCTGCCTCAGCCTGAATTAGCAATTTTTTGGTTATACCTTTCAATACAAGAATTAACTAAGATTCCAACCCAAAATGCAATGACATTATTGAGATTTTCCCTCTAGGAACTGTAAATATATATTTATACAAAAGTTATTAATACTTTATTATAAAGGTATATACTTAAAGTAGAATAAATACATTAAATTACCTCTTCAGTTAGTAATATAGGTTACATACTCATTGCTATCAAAAAATAAATGCATTTGGAAGTCAAATTTACAAACAGAAAAACAAAAACATAAAATTGTTGCTAAAATAATTTCTGTCTGTTCTTTGGGAAGTGACATAGATCATCTTAAACTAATTTTTTATTATTATTTCTAAGCAAGTTATTTATTTTGTTTTGTATTTCCCATAATTCAAGAGTATCTTTTGAAATATTTAAAATGTTGCTACTGATAACAGCTACATAGTAAACCAATCTAGAGTTGGAGGTTTCAGGTTTCTGATTTAACTTTAATTGAGAATATGTTATAAATTATGTCAATTGATTTGGGGATAATAAGAGGCATGAAGAACTCTTCCAGGATGAATTGTTTGTGCAGTCAATTACTATGCACAAAGCCTTGAATATAAGCCCAGGCAATTGGAACATACCAACTTTAACAGGGACTTCTCAGGTTTGTTTATGTTGGCATTATCAATGTGAAAATATGCATTTTAATATGTAATTGCATTATAAAAATGATATTGAAGTCATTTGGACATATTAGGAATGTAAACCATCAGTCCATGCTAGTTAATAGGAGAACTTCATATTCATGCAATGTAGCATGAATCAGCCATTTTATTTGATTCAGAAAATCTTAGAAAGATACTGACAATGAGGAAGATACAATTTAAAAATGTAAGCCTTATTCACATGGTGTAATAGTTCCCTGACTCTCCTACTAAAGAAAATTAAAGCAAATTGAATAGATGACTCATTTGGTTGTACTCCAGGAATTTACACACTGTTCTTTCTTTTGTTGCACTAATAACAAAGGTGTGTAATAAAGCAAAAGATGCTGTTACATCTTTTAAATTTGCTATTCCAAAAGTTAAAATGGAAACCACTTTAGGAAACCTGTTAATATATGTTTATAATTAAAACTGGGTTTCTTTGGCATTACTGCTCTTTTGGGAAGTTGGCTTATATGTATTCTACATTAAGTTCATTTTATTATGTATCTGCATAAACTTGTTATTGTTACTCAGACTGCATCTATGAAGCCACATGCAGAAAACTCATGTGTAGTCAAAGAGTATTTATGGCTTGCATTTTGGGTTATTAGACTATTATGTTTAGATAATCGGTTGGTTCTTTTATAAAATATAAAGCATTATCACATTAGTTGTCTCTTTACTCATACATTACTTTGTTTTAAAACACAAAGTAAGTTATAAAGGATATAGATTGTTCAGCACTTTGGTATGCCTCACAGTGCTTACAAAAGTACTTTGTTTATACGGTATACTTGATAGACCAATTGAATTCCCAGAAAACTTTTATTAATGTTTTTATAACACACTAGATAATAGTATAAAAAAAAGTCAACATTTCAAATAATGACATTTACAAACTAAAATAAGTACAGTAAGATATGTAGGTTTCCAGAAAAATAAACAGATTTATAGCAATCTAACCTATTAAATCTAAAATAATAGAATCTTTTAAAGAATGGGCAATAGTTAATGGAATCCAAAAAAATTAGAGTACCTATGATCATCATATTCTTTTTGAAGTAAGGGTTGCACTTCAATCATTTTGCATAAATAAGTGCCTCTTCTATTTATAAAAATATTGATAGTTATAGTTATTCCCAGATTTTTATTGAATAGTCAGTTTCACAGTTCAAGAAAACATTGTATAGCAAGACATTCATCTTGCTTTAGAAATCTGAAGTGTGTGTGTGTGTGTGTGTGTGTGTGTGTGTGTTGTAATGACCTTAACCTAGAATGGTGGTATCATCAGAATCTTTTTGTTTAGACTGATTCCATTTTTGTTCACACTTGAAGCAAATCCAAACTAATGAGATTTTCTTTTAAATAGGTAAAACAAGAATCATCATCACAACCATCGCTTGTCTGTCTTTTTTTTATTAACGCTCACTTGCAGAATCAACTTAGGCAGGTGAATAAGTGACTTAGGGAACAGGCAAGATATATGTTTCTGAGCTACTCATTGCTAGCATCTTTTTAGCACATGGAAAAATATTTAATATGTTATATGGTGTCTAGAACATTTTAAGAAAAAATACCCCCAGAAGAATTTTGCTATATAATTATAAGACATTCTTTGAAAACATTTTTTGGTTATTTTGTAAGATAATTAAACACTTGCTTGGATTATTGGAAATGATATTTGCATTCTTTCTGTTTGAGATGCCAATACTAGCAATATATTTACACCCACTGTCTCCTCAGTTTGGATATATCACATATGATTAGAGTGAAATGAAATCAGAATTTCCTAAAGGACCACTTTTTGCCATGCCAATATGTGATAAGATTTCTTGGATGTATACCAGGTTCTACTTTCATATTTTCCTAGGTCTATTTTCCTTTCCATGTTTACTCCAGTTTTCATTTTGGTAATTACCATACTGGAGGTGATAACCTTCACAAGTGATGGCATTACTTATTCCTTATTTACTAATCTAATAGGAAATGATTGAAAAGGGCATTCAATTTGTTTGCTCACTTTTTATTAAGAGATGTTTTGGGGGGAATTGAATGTATTTCCAGGATTCAAACACCTTGGCCTTTAATTTGTCAAACTTCGGTATTTAAGTAAATGATCTACATTCTGACTGAATTAATTGAACTCAGGGAAGGCTGTACAAAAAGATTGTTCCTATATTTTCTCACATATTTCTGTAAGGTCCAAACTGTTGAAAAGCAATTAGATTCTGAATTACTCAGTGACCGCTGCAATACCTGTTCTTTGACCTCATAAAATCTCTCCTTTTCTCCTCCCACCTTCTCCTACCCTTCTATTCAGCAAACATAATTTTCCCCTTTCTTTAACCACTCTCCTTCAAATCTTCAACTCTCCTGATCCACTGGTTTTGAGCTGCTCCCACTCGGTAGTAGTTTCAGTGTGGTAGTAGTAGTTTAATCTTTAAGTCATAGAAACATGGTTTGGTCAGTGTACTGAGAACAGATTCATATCCTAGGTGTGACCTCCCAGGGATACATAATTCAAAAAGTATGATATGAGAATATAGATTTTTAATTCCATAATGGTAATTATAATCTTTAAGGATATGAAAAGAGACATGAGAATTCTAGTGAATTTATTCATGAATTGGAAAAGAGGAGTTTAGTTGCGTGAGTTGAATGTTGAATGGTAGGGAGCTAAAATGGTCTGACTGCAGTTGGCTACACCTGCCCCATAGACTGTGCTGCAGTTCCTATTCTCTCAGATAGTGTTTTGTCTGGGCAGTGCCATGGTTAGTCTTTCTACTTTTCAGATTTTGGTGCTTTAATGGCTGAATAACCCCGTTTCCTCATCCTGTTCATCCACCAAAACATTTTGATTGGCACATTCTTTCTTTAGATATAGTAATAGATTCCCTTAGTTTCAAGTCAATTCTAGCTAGTCTAAAAGTCAATCTTTTCAGTCTGTAGAGATTTTACAATTTAACCATCATCAGAAGGCAAATTTATTTTCAATTTACAGGTTGTTGGGATTCCCAACCCATTTAAAATTGCAATCATGCATGAACCATGTAAGCCATTAGAGGACCAAACTGTTAAAATTTAAGTCTTGTGTTTGTTATTTATTTCAGAATAAAATTGCATATTTTACAAATATTATTTGTACTTGTACATTTAATATTAGTAATATGTTGTAATAAATCATTTATCTAGTTAAATACTTATCTGACCAAATGTTGGGCAAATTTGGGCACTAGAGATGACATTTATCCAAAATTCTTGCTGTATTGGATATACCTGTTTTGCACAATTTATGACAATGCTATATAGGCAGATACGTGTGGTAATGTTTTCATCAAATAAATGGTTCATTTAAAACATTTCACTCCACATATTTAAACTATCTTAGACTGAAAACACAGACTATAAAATGTTTATCTTGATTTGTGGGTGGGACGGAGCAGTAATAACATTGATATATTGGTTTTTAATAAAACCAAATCCCCATAGCTACATGAGAGCTATCCTTAAAAGTACTTGCCCAGGGAGGCTTGTTACTTTCTTCCCCCCAAATGTACCACAGTTGTTGAAATGGTGTTTTAAATTCTTTTTGGAACTGCTTTTAAAACCATAGGATAGCTGGGTGCGGTGGCTTACGCCTGTAATCCCAGCATTTTGGAAGGCCGAGGTGGGTGGTTCATGAGGTCAGGAGATCAAGACCATCCTGGCTAACATGGAGAAACCCCGTCTCTACTAAAAAATACAAAAAATTAGCCGGGCCTTGTGGCAGGCGCCTGTAGTCCCAGCTACTCGGGAGGCTGAGGCAGGAGAATGGTGTGAACCTGAACCTAGGAGGCAGAGCTTGCAGTGAGCCGAGATTGTGCCACTGCACTCCAGCCTGGGTGATAGAGCAAGACTCTGTCTCAAAAAAAAAAAAAAAAAAAAAAAAAAAAAGGATAAAAATGAATACTGTCTTATGCTGTAGGTATCTTCTATCCCAAAACTGTTTGCTTAGCTTTATCTTTAGTTGACTGGGTATGACACTGAGAGATGTTTTACTCCTTCCAAAAATCATACATAACCTCAAATAACCAAAATCCACCACCATTTAGGTTCTTCAATATATCGTGGCACAATATATGAAAGCAATAGCAAAAAGGAATTTCTTGCTTTCAGGGCAACTTCTGTGTAGGCTGAATTACCTGATGTGGTGCAGGGTGCAGGTGACCTGGATTTAGTTATTTACAATCATGAACAGAACTGTTCTCTGGCCTTATAGATTACATATCCTTAGCAAAAACTGCTGCATTTGGAGTCTAAGGAAAGGAGAAGATGCATTAGTTAGAGAAAACCAGGTGTAATTTCAGAATTCACTGTCTCCATTTGTATTGCATTCACTGGAGCTGACCCTCTAAACCTACAAATTCTGGGGTTCCCATGTATTTTTTGGATGTGCAGAAGACTCCTTGGCTGTGTGGAGGATTCTTGTAATTGGTCTGAGTTTTCTGTGTCTGAGATTTCTGTATAAACCTTCATTTCTTGTGGCGACTACCACTAATTCTCTCCAGCAGCCTGGGAGAGAAAGAAATGGTTGGAGTATTTTACCAGGATTCCTAGCACTTCTGCATTTTGCACTTGCTTTTTTTTTTTTTTTTTTTTGAGACTGAGTCTCACTCCATCACCCAGGCTGGAGTGCAGTGGCACAATCTCAGCTTACAGCAACCTCTGTCTCCTGGGTTCAAGTGATTCTCATGCCTCAGCTTCCCAAGTAGCTGGAATTACAGGCACATGCTACCAAGCCTGGTTAATTTTGTATTTTTAGTAGAGATGGGGTTTCACCATGCCATCCAGGCTGGTTTCGAAGTCCTGACCTCAAGTGATCCACCTGCCTCAGCCTTCCCACGTGCTGGGATTACAGGCGTGAGCCACTGCACCCAGCCCTCGCTTGCATTTGATTCACAGAAAGGTAAGAACCTAATGGAAGTTCTGGGACAGAGATATGGAAAGGGGGTGCAGGGTTAAAAGTATATAGAACCTTAAAGGGTGTCTGTATAATTTCACAGTCCAAAATATCATTATGTTTAATATTGCTAGAGATAAATGGGCCATCTGCTTTGATGTGGGAGAATTTTCTTTCATATGCAGGTCCATATATTCATAGTATTCACTTTAACAGAATTTGAGAGGTTATTTTTAATGAGGTACTTAAAAAATATGAGGCAAACATGGACCACAGGTAGTACAATGGTATACAAATTAAGGAAATGGAAATTGTACAAATTAGAATTAATGTGGGGCAGACATTAGAAAGATTGTTTTCTCTGCCAGGCGTGGTGGCTCATGCCTGTAATCCAAACATTTTGGGAAGCCGAAGCAGGCAGATCACTTGAGGTCAGGTGTTCAACACTAGCCTGGCTAACATGGTGAAACCTTATCTCTGCTAAAAACACAAAAGTTAGCTTGGTGTGGTGGTGGGTGCCTGTAATCCCAGCTACTCAGGAGGCTGAGGCAGGAGAATCACTTGAACCTGGGAGGCAGAGGTTTCAGTGAGCCGAGATCGTGCCACTGTACTCCAGCCTGGGCAAGGAGACTATGTTTAAAAAAAAAAGAAAAGAGAGAGAGAGAGAGACCAAAAAAAAAAAAAAAAAAAAAAAAAAGAAAGAAAGATTGTTTTCTCAAGGTCCTGAAAGCCAAATAAATAGTATTTCAAGAATTAAACTCTGAATCATCAATTTAATGATTAGAAGAAAATGAGTATGGTTTGTTAGACCTAAGATTACATGAAAGAAGAAATAAGAGCACTGCATTTATCTGATTGTGGTAGGCAGAAAAATGGTCCTGCAAAGATGTCCATGTCCTTCCCCGAACCTGTTCTTCCCTGAATAAAAGGGACTGTGTAGATATGATTACGCTACAAATCTTGAAATGGGGAGATTATCCTGGATTATCTGCTGGGCTCAATGTAATTACAAGGATGCTTGTAAGTGAAAGAGGTAGGCAGGAGATTTGAAGGAGATGTGATGGAAGAAGAAGAGTCAGAGTGATCGTTATGCAGAATACTCAGCTGGTCACCACTGGATTTGTGGGCAGCTTCTAGCAGCTGCTGAAGGCAAGGTAACAGATTCTTTCCTAGAGCATCCAGAAAGGAGTGCAGTTCTGGAATAGGACACTGATGGAAAAGCATGTTCCCCACTTAGATAATCCTGGCCGTTCTTTTAATGTGGTTGGTTAAGATTTTTAAAACATTCGTGGAGTTTGTCTGAAAGAACAACTAAATTAGACAGCAATGTGTTTAAGCATATGTTTATCAGTTCATTTAAAAGACATAATAGTGGTGGTGAACTGAATCACAATTTCCTCCCAAAGGTTTGTTTCTTTTGCTGTTTTTTAATGTGAAGCTACACTTCCCAACACTCTTGCAACTTTGTTAAAAATGAACCTTGAAAGGTGCCTATATAATTTCATAGTAGTAAAATACCATTATGTTTAATATTGTTAGAGATAAATCGGCCATCTGCTCTGATTTGGAAGGTTTTTTAAAATAGAGATCCATATATTCATAGCATTCACTTTAACGGAATGAAAGGCAGCAGCCCAAGTCAGGGGCTTATAATTAAAACTCCCATCTCCCTGGGACAGAACAACTAGGGGAAGGGGTGGCTGTGGACACAGCTTTGCAGACTTAAACATTCCTGCCTGCTGGCTCTGAAGAGAGCAGTAGATCTCCCAGCACAGTGCTTGAGCTCTGCAAAGGGACAGACTGCTTCCTCAAGTGGGTCCCTGATGCCTGTGCCTCCTGATTGGAAACCACCTCCTGGCAGGGGTCGACAGACACCTCATACAGGAAAGCTCCAGCTGGCATCTGGTGGGTGGCCCTCTGGGACGAAGCTTCCAGAGGAAGGAACAGGCAGCAATATTTGCTGTTCTGCAGCCTCCGCTGGTGATACCTAGGCAAACAGGGTCTGGAGTGGACCTCCAGCAAACTCCAGCAGACCTGCAGCAGAGGGGCCTGATTGGTAAAAGGAAAACCAACAAACTGGATGGAGAATGAGTTTGACAAATTGTCAGAAGTAGGCTTCAGAAGGTGGGTAATAAACTCTTCTGAGCTAAAGGAGCATGTTGTAACCCAATGCAAGGAAGCTAAGAACCTTTAAAAAAGGTTAGAGGAATTGCTAACTAGAATAACCAGTTTAGAGAAGAACATAAATGACCTGATGGAGCTGAAAAACACAGCACGAGAACTTCGTGAAGCATACACAAGTACCAATAGCCGAATTAATCAAGCGGAAGAAAGGATATCAGAGATTGAAGATTAACTTAATGAAATAAAGCGTGAAGACAAGATTAGAGAAAAAAAATGAAAGGGAATGAACAAAGCCTCAAAGAAATATGGGACTGTGTGAAAAGACCAAACTTACGTTTGATTGGTGTACCTGAAAGTGACAGGGAGAATGGAATCAAGTTGGAAAGCACACTTCAGGATATTATCCAGGAGATCTTCCCTAGCCTAGCAAGACAGGCCAACATTCAAATTCAGGAAATATAGAGAACACCACAAAGATACTCCTCGAGAAGAGCAACCCAAAGACGCATAATCGTCAGATTCACCAAGGGTGAAATGAAGGAAAAAATAATAGGTGATTTTTAATGAGATGCTTAAAAAATATGAAGCAAACATAAACTACAGATACTAAAATGATTCTTATAAGGAAATTCTTATAAGGAAATGAAGATTGTTAAGGTATAAAAATTGTGTAAGATGTCAAATGGAATTTTATAGTACATAGATCTTGAATATATTTCAGTTATACATATTTGTGGAATTGTAACATGTGTAAGCTACAAAAAATTATAAAGTTAATTTTATTTTTTAGTGCTTTTTTTTTTTTTGAGATGGAGTCTCACTCTGTTGCCCAGGCTGGAGTGCAGTGGCGTGATCTCAGCTCAATGCAACCTCCTCCTCCCAGGTTCAAGCAATTCTCCTGCCTCAGCTTCCCGAGTAGCTGGTATTACAGGCATGCACCACCATACCCGGCTAATTTTTGTATTTTTAGTAGAGACAGGGTTTTGCCACATTGGCCAGTCTGGTCTCGAACTCCTGACCTCAAGAGATCTGCTTGCCTCGGCTTCCCAAAGTACTGGTATTAAAGGTGTGAGCCACCGTGCCTGGCCATAAAATGCCTTTGCATAGGATAGCTATTTATGGTCAAATGGCGAGGTATTAAAAAATTATTTTTAGCTGACTCATTGGCAGTTAGAGACATTGTCACCATAGAGAGGGCAAGAGAAGAGACACTCACATGGCTTTCTTCCTAGTGTTACTGTGCATTCTTGGTATTCAAAGACTGGTATCTACACAGTGAAATCAAATGGAAGATTACTAGCATGTGGCTTTTATTGCACTCTTACTGTGTTCTAATTCTAATTGATATTATTTTATTTGGTCCTCACTAGGTTCGCAAGTGATTTATCTACAAGATTCTTATTACATAAGTATTTGTTTTCCACATGCCTAGAGTTATGAAGTTTCTCATGGAGGCAAAAACTTTTAAAAGGATTGAAATGGTAACTAGTGAAGAGAGGACTAATAAAGTTAGTTTTCATTTAAACAGCACTCTCTGTTTAACACAATAGCTTGAACCTGTGTATTGTTGATTTTTCTAACCAATGATCAGATATAGTAAATTTTGAAAAATACAAAATAAATATAATGTTAATCCACAACAATAGGAATTCAAATGAGAATGATAAAAATGACAAAGAATTAAGAGCAGTCCTTGGAATAACTGATGAACATCTATAATACTGTTTTTCAAAATGACCTGTAGGTATGTGCTGTCAGACTCATCACTGAAGTGGAAAATATGTTATTGTACATTTTTGGTGGGCAAAATAACCCAAATTTCTTCCTCTTCAAGCAATCAATTATTTATTCTTTGTTCTGAATACTAGGGAAATTTTAATTTTCCTAAGTATTCGTTGAAATAAATGATTTCAGTTTTTCGTTCAAGATAAGTTCCAACCAAACTTATTTTTACCATAGATATCTTTGGTAGATTTATTGTTTAAAATGTCTTTATCCTAGAATTAGTTATCTTTGGGTAGTATCTATCTTGCAAACATACCCCATTTTACAGATGAGAATGTCACAATGTTGTGAGTTTAAGTTACGGATTCGATGTCACACATGAAATAAGTCTTCAGAGCTCAATCTTTGCCCTACCACCTGCCTTTCTGCCAGTGCTGATACTCATGCTGACACAAAAGTGTGTCTATAATAGGTGGTTCACATGGAACTTCCTTCCCTTTTGATTGGGCACAGCAGCTATTCACATTGGTTGGTGCCCATAATTTAACATGATTCACGTTGGTTGGCACCCATAATTTAACATAATTCACATTGGTTGGTGCTTATAATTTTGATTGGGTGCAGCAGCTATTCACATTGATTGGGTGCAGCAGCTATTCACATTGATTGATGCCCATAATTTAACAGTTGTTAAATATGTTGACTATCATCCCTGACTGTTGCCTCTAAGAAGTACCCTACTCAATGTCTGCCTGATACAAAAACCTGCTGTTCCTGCCCCAATACCTATGCTGTTTGTATACCCATCAAGGAAACAAAACTAACATGCCATCTCCTATGGTGAGAAGTGAGGGAGGAATTGTTAAAATCTTATTTATTTCATTTTTATTATTTTTTGGGCCATTGTATCACATCATATTTCTTTTTTTGAAATCACATTTTTTATTTTTATGGATTTAGGGCTATAAGTGCAGTTGTGTTATGTGGATATACTGTGTAGTGGTGAAATCTGGGCTTTTAGTGCACCTATCACTTGAATAATGTACATTGCTCCCAATAGATGGTATTTCTTCTATCACTCTCCTTCTACCCTCCCACCATTTGGAATCTCTAATATCTATTATTCTACTCTGTATGTCCGTGTGTACCCATTGTTTAGCTCCCAAGTGAGAACATGTGGTTTTTGAATTTTGGTTTGTGAGTCATTTCACTAAGGATAATGGCCCCGAGCTCCATCCATGTTGCTGCAAAGACATTATTTCATTTTTTATGGCTGCATAGAATCCCATGGTGTGTGTGTGTGTAACCTATGCACACCACATTCTGAATCTAATCATCCTCTGGCAGACACTCAGGTTGATTCCATGACTTTGCTATTGTGAATACTGTTGTCATGAACATAACAGGGCAGATGTCTTTTTGGTAAAATGATTTATTTTCCTTTGAGTAAATACCCGGTAATGAGATTGCTGGATCAAATGGTAGTTCTATCTTTGGCTCTTTAAG